>NC_000011.10:32181212-32332727 GCF_000001405.40 Homo sapiens
TGCTGCTTTTGTAAAAGGAAAAAGGCAACAGGAGTTATTTTCAATGATTTCTTTAAAAACCTGACTATGCAACTGTGGGATGCCCTGCTCTTTATTACAAATATGATCTCTGGATTTTTTTTTTTTTTTTTGACACAGTCTCACTCTGTTGCCCAGGCTGGAGTACAGTGGCGCGATCTCAGCTCACTGCAATCTCTGCCTCTTGGGTTCAAGCAATTCTCCTGCCTCAGCCTCCCAAGTAGCTGGGATTACAGGTGCCCACCACCATGCTCGGCTAATTTTTTGTTTTGTTTTGTTTTGTTTTGTGTTTTTTGTTTGTTTGTTTTTAGTAGAGATGGGGTTTCACCATGTTGACCAGGCTGATCTCAAACTCCTGACCTCAAGTGATCCACCTGCCTCGGCCTCCCAAAATGCTGGGATTACAGGCGTGAGCCACCACACCCAGCCTGATCTCTGGATTCTATGGAACTGCTATCTTACTTGAGTTTCCTTTCTCAGCTAAGATGATTTGCCCCACATAATTGCCCTCTCCTCATCCCATACCCCAGTGGCCATCAGCTGCTCTGATAATCTTGACCCTTCCCCATCATTTTGAATGTCTGAGTACCCCCTTAGGGTTCAGTTTTTCCCAGGCAATCCAACTTGAAAACAGGGCACAGGCAAGGGGGCCTTTTGGAGACATTACCTAAAGGACCACCCACGGCATTTCTCTGTTTTAGAGACAGGGGAGCCCAGCAGTTAAGAAAGCAGAGTTGGGGTAGTGGACTCAGCCAGTGGGTTCATCAAACAGGAGAGTCAAGGCAGTTGCTTAAATTAGAATAAGTAACAGGCTGAAATGAAGGCAGTTAAGATAATGAAGCCAAGAATAGATCTCTAAGAGTTGAGATTCAAGACAGGAAATGCTGGGTATCCATCCTCACATTCCTTTGAAGCAAACCTTGGCATTTTTCTCCAGGCTGTAGAAAGTCTTTGAGATACCTAATGGGGCCAGACCAGAGATGGGGACAAAAAAAGTCACTTCACTGCAAAGAACACCACATTTTCCTGAGCAAGGTACATGTAAAAATACAGGCTAGTGGTGTAGATTGAAATGCCTCAAAGAAGACAGCATGGGCGAGACTGTGACTGCCATCCAGTGTCCATTCTTTCCTTCTTTGCTAACAGAACCCCAGTGTTAGCCCAGGTGCCAACGCACTCAACTAAAAGACTACATTTTCCAGCCTCCCTTGCAGATAGCGTGGCCAAGAGGCCAAGTGCTGCCCAATGAATGGTACGTAAGTGTTAAGTGGGGCTTCCAGAAAAGCTCTCCAGGGGAGCTGACTCAGCTGGAAGTGTTGTCCACCTGTCCTCCCCTACTTGCTCCTTCCTCCCGCCCTGATGGTTGAAGCCCCAGCAACTTTCCTAAATCACAGGTGACTTTAGGATGGAAGCCTAGGTGGAGTGAAAAGACAGAAGCCGGGTCCCTGTCATACCAGCTATGTCTGCCCTCTGGACTTCTTTTATATGAAAAATAATTGCAATCTTAAGTCCCTGTTATTCTAGATTTTCTGCTATACATGGCCATTCCTATTCCTTGGTGCTACAGTGGGGTCAACAGTTACTCTGAAGGGAAAAATAAAGGAGGAAAGGAACTTGAAATTCTAAATTGTGGTGGCAAAGAAAGTCAGCAAATACTTCAAAGATTCCTTCTAGGCTTTTATGTGCTATTATTTAAAATCACAAATGCTGGCATTTATGCAACTGAGGGAGGAAATGCATTAGTAGCACAGAACTACTAATGGCAAGTTATTTCACTTAGAAGATGTTTAACACAGGTACCATAATTGTCACTTAATAGGTCAGAGAACCAAGAGAGACCTGCCTTTGTGTGTTTGAGCCCCCTCTCTGCAGATCACAAATATTTCCTTTTATGTTTAAGAAATGTAATTATGTCTAATGCAAATTACAAGCCAGAATACCACCACAAAGCTTACTGCTTTTGTGCCAGTTTAGTCCTTTCATTATTTTATAAATGTTGCAGTTCTCAAAAGGCAAAGCTTACCTCCCAAGACCTTTTGGAGAATGTTTAATCATGCCCTCCTCAAACCTAGTCAGTGAGTGTAACACTCATGTTGGACAAGGCTTCCAGATGGCTTTTTAACCACACCTTCCCCAAACTGAAGCTTTCTGCTACCTCTCTGTTGCCTCTTTCCTGCTTACCCTCTTCAGGTCGGTGTCCCCTCCTCCAGGCAAAGCCCAATCTTTGGGCTCATCTCTGGCATTCCCAAATGATCTACTGCTAACCTCATTCATAATAAGAGCTACCACCTATTGACTCCATGTTATGCACCAGGCACCGTGCTCATTAGTGCTTTGTGGGGACTATCTCATAACCCTCATAAGATCCCTGTTCCTGTGAGGAAGGAACAGGGATCCTCAAATGAATGAGGATACTGAGGCTGAGAGAAGCTAACAACTTGTCCTCTGCCTTGGAGTTGGTAAAAGATGATGCAACAATTCAAACCCAGGTCATCTGGCCCTAGAGGCCAAGTCACACTATTTTGTAAACTAGTGTACAGTCTCTTTATATATTGCGTACTTCCCACCTTTTCCAGTGCCCAGCATCCAGCGGTACTCAATAAATGCCAGCTGAATAAGTGTCTGGTCCAGCATCATTCATTCCTATCCCACTACACAGACTTGGATTAAAAATTACCAGATGAGAGTGAGAATTAGTCTCCATGCTTGGAAGAAGCAGCCCCAGAGAGGTGTGGTTCAACCGGAGTCTGCTTACCAGGAACACAACCCACTGCTGAGGAAGGAAGCCCATTTCAACCATTTCAAGGTGCATCCTTACTGCTGGGAAATAGATGGTTAGAAAGAGATTCATATTTTTTCCTCATGATTCTTCACAGAGACGAAATAGAACCAACAGTGGCTTGAAAACATGGAAGGAACAGCAACTGGAGGCTGGCCAGCCCTGTGCTCTGATTCTGGAAGACAATGGCTCCAAGCTCTGAACTGGATTTAGAGGGTATCCTTTAAGAGGCTCTGGACACTCCCAGGGGCAATTCGGCTTGGGCTGGAACCAGAAAGGGCTCAACCAATAAAGAATTTCCTGAGCCTCACAATGAAGCATTCCTGCCCTAGGAAGAACCAGGCAGAACCAGGCAGGAGAAGTGAATTCTCAGGAGCAATGAAGAAGGCAGGCCTGTCCCTTGAGCCTCCAGACAGAACTACTCCATGAGGGCCTTCTGGTGTCTCTCTGTCTGTCTGTTTCTCTCTCTCTCTCTCTTTCCCTCCCTCTCTATCTCCCTCTCTGAAACTATCTTGGCGAGCTCACACCAGCAGGGAGACAGCCCTCCCAGCCCAGGCGCAGGAAATGGCTGCCACGACAGGCGGCCATGCCAAGTGGGAAGTGTGGCTTCCAGCAGCAGCACCTGGCCTCCTGGCAACTGCTCAGCCAGGCTTGGAGAGGTGCCTGAGCTTTTTTGTTCCTGATTTTTGACATCTCCCCCACCCCACCCTCCACTTCATTTTTTTTTCCCCAAAAAACCATCCTCTTAAAAGCCTCCCCCTGTGGCCTTGTGAGGGGCCAGAAGGGGCCAGTCCTAAACGGCTTCCCTCTTCTTGTTACAAAAGCTATCTCTGACTCTTCAGTTAACCACAGGCTAAAATCTAGCCTTCTTGAAACTGCAAGTTTCATTTGTGAAAAGAAAATGAAATCTCCTTTTCTCTGGCAGTGTAACGAGGCTGCTTTTGTTAAGGCTGTGTGTTTGGGGGCAGCTATCCGGCCCCACAATGGACATCGGGCAGGACCGTCATCCGTCTTCCCAGTGACCACTCTGAGACATCAGCATCCTGAAGAGGGATGAGGTAGGCTGGGGACACAGAGGCCCATCACCTCCTTGGTGTTTCTCCTTTCTCACCCCCGACATCTGCAGTCACCAAGCTCTGCAAACTCCGTGTCTGCAATAGCTGCTTTGCCGCCTCTTCTGTGTACCTGGCGCTAGAATGCCAGCCCTCAACATCTCTGGTCTGTGTTACTACAACAGCCTCCCATCTCTCCCCTTATCATCCCTCCTCCATGCTGCAGCCCTAAAGCACAGTGTGATCATGTCTCTTCCACTACCCAACTCCTCAGAACCACAATCCAGCCCAAATCTACTTTTCCCTCCTCATCAGCATCTTGACAGTTCCTTCCCTGACTTCCTCTTGCACTCAATCCCTTTGAGAACCATCTCCATGGACACTTTCAGTGGGTTTGTGTTGTTGCCCTGGCCTAAAGTGTGTTTGCCACATTCTTGTTTGGTTTGCTCCCCATTCTTCAAAATCCAAATCAACATCATCCCTTCCACCTACTGCAGGCTGAATGAATCACTCCCTCCTTTGAATTCTGTAACGTTTAATTCCTTTTTAAAGTTTTGATTCCAATTTCCTTAATTGCCTCCCTCATGGGATTATGAGGTCTTTGAGTCGAGAGCCTGGGTATGAATTCATCCTTTGTATTCCCAGCACCAAATAAGGCACCTGTCCTAGTTTGCGTCAGACAGCTTTGGGAAATGAATGGCAATAATGGAGAAGAGGAGACTCTGTGCACAGATACTAACCTGTGAGCCAGGCTCAGGTAAAGGAGGAAAACTCACCTGAGACATCCAGAAAAACCCTGGTGGTACTCAGTTAGGAGTCCCCTGCCAGAGACAGGTCTTTGGGGAATGACAAGTCTCCTCAGTGAGCTTGAACTTCAGAGCCTTCCCACTTCCCTTGGGCCAGATCTCTCACATTCCTGAGTCACGCCTCTCCATTTCTGAATTTGTTTCCTCAAACATCTTCTTCACCCTGATCTGCTCAGATGGCCTCCATTTCCAGTTGCTTCCTAGCTGTGGGTTTGGTGCTAGTAGAAATGACCTTGGCCTATATCGGGCCTCTGAGTAACTTGACTTCCAGAAGAAAAGGCCTGGGATCTTTCTCTATCAGATATAATTCAAAAGACAGGACGATCACCTCCTGTGCAGGTCATGTGGCATCAGGCTGTTACTGCACAGTGCTGTGGGTTAGGGGAAAGGAGGATAGGATCTGGCCCACTCTGTGGCTCCTCTGTCACTACAAACTCATCTTGATGGAAACCAAACTCGTTAACTTCAGTTCCTCTATTTCAATTACCTCTGATAGCTGATCAGTAACTGGGTTGTGTCAACTCACTTCCACAGTCACAAATATCCATCTCCCCCTACTCATTTCTACTTCCACTTAGCTAGGGCCCCTTCATCCTTCACCTGGGCTACTGAAATGACCTTCTAGGAGATGACCTCCTAGCAGCCAGTCTTTCCTTCCCCTGTCTGGCCTTCACATTGACCCAGTTGTCTTCCTAAAATACAAGCTGATTATGTCACTCTGCTGCTCAAAATCCTTCAATGGCTCCCCACTGCCTACAGAATAATGTTCAAACTCCTTCAATTGCCACTTGGATCCTCTAACAATGTAGTCCCAACTGACTTTTGTCACCTCACCTAGCGGCAAGCACCTTTCCCTCCTTCCCAACATAATGATCCTTGCTCCTTTCAGTCCAGATAAAATATTCCATTCTCTCCAAGCAAAATTAATTCTTCCATTCACAGCATTTCCACAACACACATCTTATATCTTAACTGAGCACTTCTTTATTCTGCCTTCATTATATGCGGCTGTTTTCATAGCAAACTGGCCCTGTAGATTGCAAACTCTCAGAAACAAGAAGCCTGCCTTATCCACCTTTGCTATCCTCCACGTTGCCCTGGGCATGACACACACTCAGGGTATTTCCATTAACTGCAAATGACACAAGTGAATCAAAGAAGTTTTGCATTGTGTTTAAATAGGTTCATATAGGTTTGGAGGCCATTGTGGTCAGGATCATGGTATGAAGCAGTTCTGGATGAGAAAATGGCTCTTAAGGAATTCACAGTATATTTGAGATAATATAGGTGAATGTCCAGACACTAAAAAGCCACAAAGTAATAGAAAGAAAAATAATGTTCTTCAAGCATGCATGCAAAATGAAGCAGAGATTGCACACAATTTATGCAGCACACAGAGGTATTTTCATGCCATGACTCTGAATCACACATTTGAGATTTAAAATACCTTCACCTTTGCTTGGGGGAACAGAGACTCTGAAAAGTCTTACTATTGCTGCATGTGACTGGTAGACTGTATCATCATAATCAGTCCACATAGGGGAGTCTCCCCAGGCAGCATAACCTACTGGTTATGAGCCAGACCACCTGAGTTCAAATCCCAGCATCACCATTTCCTAGCTGTGTGACTGAGCAATTAACTTCTCTGTGCCTCTTTTTGTTTCTCCTATAAATGCAGAGAATAACAAATGCCTGCCTCATTCGATCTTTAGAAGAATTAATATAGATAAAGGGCTTAGAACACAGTAAACTCTGCATCATCACTGAGGATTATTATTATTATTATAAATTTTTTTTTGAGACAGGGTCTCGCTCTGTTGCCCAGGCTGCAGTGCAGTGGTGCAATCTTGACTCACTGTGACCTCTGCCTCCCAGGTTCAAGCGATTCTCGTGCCTCAGCCTCCTGAGTAGCTGGGACTACAGGCATGTGCCACCATGCCTGGCTAATTTTTTGTATTTTAGCAGAGACGGGGTTCACCATGTTGCCCAGGCTGGTCTTGAACTCCCGAGCTCAGGCAATCCATCCATCTTGGCCTCCAAAAGTGCTAGGATTACAGGCATGAGCCACTGCGCCTGGCCATCACTAGAATTATTTTTAACTATACCTATGTTCTAGAGAGACAGAGGGTCAGACAGATTGTCCAGCTGATAAGCATTTGTATAATACCTAGTATTGAGGTACTGTTCTTTCCTTCTCATGTTTTCAGGATCTACTGTTTAATGGGAAGTGTCTTCTTTTTTTTTTAAGTGGCTACCATCTGTTAAGGGCTTACTCTTTTTCTGATTATATCAATGAATCTTGGATTCCAAAAAAACACAACATGGTAGCAAAGAGCTTAGGTCCTGGAGCCAGGCTGCCTGAATATTTTTGTAGGTGCCTCCATTATGTGACTTAACTTTTCCAGATCTCAGTTTCTTCATCTGGAAAAAGAGGTTAATAACAGTTTCTACCCCCTCCCACCAGTGTGAGAAGTAATGAGTTGGTGCATGTAAAATGCTTAGAACAGCACTTGGAGTGTTGTTAATCCTCAATAAATGCCTCTATTCCTATTTAATAAACAGGTACTCGGCACCTACTATGTGCCAGGCACTGTGCTAGGAGCTTGTGATCCAGCAGCAAAAAGGCAAAGTCCCTGCTTGCTGGAGATGTAGATACTATTATCATCATCATCAACCTCTAAACTGAGGCTTTGAGTGGTTAAATCTGCCTGAAGTAAGTGAACAGTGAACACGCTGGGGTTTGAATCCAGGCCAGGCTTAACCTCAGGACTATCCCTCTCCAACATGGAGCCCCTGGAGAAGGGAGGTGTTAGCTTTCACTCCCTCAGAACCCTAGAGACCCTGCTCAATGTCTGCAGAATTAGAATCTCAACCCCTTAGGTTGTCATTCCAGATACGTCAACCATGGTGCCAGTCATTGTCACACTCTGTCATATGGAAAGTAGCCCAAGGCAGATCCACAAGCAAGACAGAGCTGAGAACTGGACCATGGCTGAGCACTTGGCCTCACAGCCACCCAGCGCTAGGCTAACCATGACCTAGGATGTAGCCAGTGCAAAAACTGCCCAAGGAGGATAATGGTAACTTGTTACGCCAAACAGACTCAAAGTCTCCCTCTAGAGTGTAAACAGAGAGCTTCAGAGAGAAGCCACCCAACAGAAACCAGGAGCAGGAATAAGAAAGCATCAAGATGCAGAGGACGCAGGAGAAGCAGCATCTGCACGATGGGCAGAGGACAGAGGTGAGGATCTCACACCCCAGGGGCTGAGGGAGAGACCTCAGACCCAGGATGAGGAAGAATCCCATGGGATCCCTACTCATCTACAGCCCCCACACCCTGACAAGAAACCCCTATCCCCTGAGAGTCTCTGACCCAGCTGTGTGCAGCCATTCAAGACTCTCCAATCCCAACCCACCTGCCGTGGCTTCTCTTCTATTCCTGCTCCACACATAATGCTCCTGGGCCCCAAACAGGCTGTGTGCATGCCTGCTCACTCTTCCTCCCCACCCCAACCCTTCAAGGCCCAGTCACACTCACCCTCTGCCTGATGGAGAGACCTCCCAACATAACTCCAATCGCATTGTGACCCCGGTGCCTTCTAGCACATACCCAGTAAATGCTGGCTGGCCAACTGGCCTGATAATATGAAATATAATACAATAGGCCTATAATACAATAGACCTAGAGCAGTAGTTCTTTTTGTTTTATCCTTTATTTTTATTTTTTTGTTTCTCAAGTTCTATAGAGCAGTAGTTCTTAACCCCAAGCCCCAGGGGGCAATTCTGCTCCCCAGGGGATATTTGGCAATGTCTGGAGCCATTTTTGGTTGTCACAATTGGGGGCAGGGAATGTGCCAGTGGCACCTGGTGGGTAGAGTCCAGGGATGTGCTAAATGTTCTACAGTGCACGCGACAGCCCTCCACAACCACGAATTATCAGGCTCCAAATGCCAATAGTGCCGAGGTTGAGAGACTCAGGGCTAGAGTTTTAGAAAAACTTAAAAGAAATAAGATTTGGGTAATACAATTACAATAACAACACATTATTAGAAGTGGAATGGTTGAACTGTATTTTTCTGAGTGCTGCTCAAGATTTTAGATATATTACAGTGAACTCCCATCCCAAGCCCCATATTGATGCTGATTTGGATATAACGCGATCAACAATTGGCAGCAAACACCCCAGCCTTCCATTCACCTCTCCTTGGCAATAATGTGGCCCCTTATTTTACCAGGCAGAGTTGTTTGGACCCACTGATAGTATGACAGCAGCGTTTGATCGTCGTGCCACAGTGCTGGTGGAGACCATGAGCAAGCTAATGCCATTCTCGCCAGTCTGACCTTTTTTTTTTTTTTTTTTTTGAGGTCTCACTCTGTTGCCCAGGCTGGAGTGCAGTGGCGCAATCTTGGCTCACTGCAAGCTCCGCCTCCTGGGTTCACACCATTCTCTTGCCTCAGCCTCCCAAGTAGCTGGGACTACAGGCATCTGCCACCACACCAGGCTAATTTTTCGTATTTTTAGTAGAGACGGGGTTTCACCATGTTAGCCAGGATGGTCTCGATCTCCTGACCTCGTGATCCACCCACCTCGGCCTCCCAAAGTGCTGGGATTACAGGTGTGAGCCACCGTGCCCGGCCCAGTCTGACCATTTTTAATCCAGTCTGTGGGGCTGCGTTGACAGATTCTATTCAGCATTTTTTTTTTAACCTGAATGGCGTTTCTCCCTTCATGCTGGTTAAGAGCATAGGCTTTGGAGGTGGCCGTAGCCAGATTGCACTCTCCGTTCTGGGAGGGTTTGTTCCATCAACCACTGCACATTCAGTGCCTGGTAAGACAGGGTGCTCAGGAAGAACTTGGGGAATGAATGAACGTAGCAGTCATTCTCTGTTTCACCTCATTAAGCCTTAGTTTTCTTCTCTATAAGATGGAGCAAATAGCACCTAGGACATCAGGTTATTGCAAGAATGAAATGAAATTAGACCATGCATATCAAGCCGACAGCCCAGAACCAGACGCACAGCTCAGTAAGTGGCTGCCATCTCCATTTTCACAACTAGTGCAAGTCTGTGGCTCTTTCAGAATCCTGAAAGGTACCATGATTTTCTATCCTAATCCTCTGTTCTTCAAAGAATCACTATCAAGGCAGAGGAAGTTCTAAAGCACGGAGAATGGGGTGGGTTCATTTTTCTGAAACTAATTAAAAATCAGAAGTTCTGCCGTGATTTCCAATTAACTTTCCATTTTTCTGAAACTAATTAAAATCAGAAATCTGCCGCGATTTGTACTGTACTGTATAAGTTTGTGCTCATATGTGGGCTTCCTATTTTAAATTTTCATTTGATTATGTACATCTCAGTCTAGCAAAAGGAATGGATGAGGGCAAGTATCCTGTATTTTAAGATTTTCTCAGAATTTTCTACCTGTTACAGGTACCCAATATAATAAATAGTAAACAAACAAAGTGAACAAACTTAGGTTTTAGCTACTGGGTTTTCTAAGGGTGAAGTCTAGTTATATAAATATGATACAATTATCTACTTTTACTCTGGTTCACATTTAAACATAAAGCTATCAGAATGAAAGAGATTAACTGTGGCATCAACTCTTCACATAAAACCTTGCAGACCCCATGGCTGCTGAGAGCATTTCCCTAAGGCAGTATCCATCAGGACACAACAGACCTGGGAAGGCAGGATGGCAGACAGCAGGCAATGCGCTGGCTTCAGACCACACTGGGTTCAGACCCTGGCTCCAGCACTTTATAGTTGTGCAGTTTCAAATCTCTATTTTCTTTTTCTTCTTCTTCTTCTTTTTTTTTTTTTTTTTTTTTTTTTTTTTGAGACAGGGTCTTGCTCTGTCACTCAGATTTCAGGCTGGAAGCGCAGTGGTGTGATCATAGCTCACTGCAGCCTCCAACTCTTGGACTCAAGCAGTCCTCCCACCTCATTCTCCCAAGTAACTGGGACTACAGGCACATAATACCATGTCTGGCTAATTTTTAAATTTCCTTGTAGAGACAGGGTCTCACTATGTTGCCCAGGCTGGTCTCGAAATCCTGGGCTCAAGCAATCCTCCCACCTCAGCCTCCCAAAGTCTTGGGATTACAGGTGTAAGCTACCACACCTGGCTCAAGTCTTAATTTTCTCACCTGTAAAAGGACAATAGCATACCTGCTGTTACTGGTTGAATTATGCATCTCCCAAAATTCATATGTTGACATCCTAAGACCTGATGCCTCAGAATGAAACCTTATTTGGAGACAGGGTCTTTACAGAGGTAATCAAGTTTAAACAAGATCATTAGGGCCCTACTCCTACATGACTGGTGTCCTTATCTAAAGGGGAAATTTGGAGACAGACACGCACACAGGAAGAATGCCAAATGCAGATGAAAGCGAAATTGGAGTGATGCTTCTATAAGACAAGGAACCACGGATTGCTAACGAACCCCCAGAATCCAGAGAACAGGCCTGGAACAGATTTTTCCTCACAGCCCTCAGAAAAAAACAACCTGGTCAACACCCTGACCTCAGACTTTTAGCCTCCAGAACTGTGAGAAAATAAATTTATGTTGTTTTTAAGCCACTCAGTCTGTGGTACTTTGTCATGGCAACCCAGAAAAACTAATACATCTGCCTTGCAGGGTTATCATGAGGAATAAAAATAAAGTTTAAAAGATGTAAAAAACACATTCCACAGTTCATAGTAGGTGGGCAAAGTTGGTAACTGTCGCTATTATTAATTATTAGTGTATCACAAGTTGAATATAACATAAATATCAGAAATGTGTATGTTAGACACAGGAAATATCATATTGTCTGAATATAAGGCAACACCCTAAATGCCAATTCACCTTCTTGTCAATGAGAAAATCAGAGAAAAAACTTTTTAAATATAGAAATAGCCAAATGGAAACATATTATATTTAATTAAACTTAGGTACCTATACACATATAAAATTACATGGTATACAAAAATCATACATTGATTTAGAAACTATATTCATATTTCATGAAGCAATTTTATTTTAACTTCAGTTGTTTTCATCACTAGAACCTTTTTTGAGTCAGTTTTCCAGAGAACTTCATCTTCATTTCCATCTAAGTCATTTGAGATACAGCACTTTTGAATCTGTGTATGATAACACAAAAATGTTATCCGAAGCTGCAAATATTATTTTCACATACCATTATAACTGTTGTATCTTTCTTTCTTCTGTACTTATATGTATATATATTCATGATCTTCACTTGTAACCACGTACTCTATTGCTTTGTAACATGATTTCTAAAAAGTGCATTTATAACAGAATCTAACACTTGCCATTGTGAAGTCGTGCTCAAAGAAATAATCCCTAAATCAGTACTGGAAACCTGTATAAGCATCGAAAACTAACATTGATTTAGGTGATTTCAGGCTAATATAGTTTTACAAAGTGAAAAAATTGGAAGTGAATCCCCTAGTGTGGGGGAACTTGAAGGACTTAAATATAAGGCAATTCTTTCTTTACTGAGAAGCAGATTTTGGGGGGAAACTCATCCCGTTAACTTCAGACTATAAGCAGTTTATCACCATTGGCCTTATCAATTCAGATGCTTTTTCCATGTCCCGCTGATTCTTATCCTTCAAGGTCAAGTTCAAATGTCACTTCCTCTATGAACCTCCCCACCATACATGCAGAGTTGGAATAAATCTCTCATCACTTAGCTCCCCACCCATGTGTGTGTATCTCATAACTTTCCTCCATCCCTGAGGCCAACTCCTTCTTGTGATCATCCATACACTGCACTTTGCTTTATAAATAGTAAGTTCCTTTTTTCTTTAATGAGTGAGAGGAAATAACTTGGTGCTTTTCTCCTGAGTATAAATAGTACATATTTATTGTAAAAAACCCAGATTCTATAGAAATGTTTTAAGAGTAACATAAATCTTCTAAAGCTCCCCCACTATTAATTTTTTGGTGTATCATTTCCAGAATTTTTACTACATGCATACACACGGGCACACACATACACATACACATACACATATATATAACCCGGACATATTTTTAAACAGATAAGAATCAGGCCATAGCATGCTGTTTTGTAACCTGCTCTTTTCACTTAATCATACAATCTTCCTTTGTAAAGAAATGTAAATGTAAAGTGTAAATTTTAATGGCAGTATAGTATTAAAATATCAAAATTTCCTTAATCATTATCCTACTGTTGGATTCTTAAATTGTTTCAGGTTTTTTATAATCATGAACAATGCTACAGTGAAAATCCTTGAAATTATAGCTTAGACAAATGATCATTATTTAGGATAAATTCTGAAAAGTAGTATGCTAGTTCAAAAGGGTATACTTCATGTAAGTTTTAGTTATGCCCAGTAACAGTGCAAAAGACTGTCTATTTCCCTGGGTCCTTACCAATATTAGCACTATTCATCCTTTTAATCTTGGCCAAAATGAAAGGATGAAAAAAAAAGAGAGATTTTAATCCCATTTTTATTACCAGTGAGTTTGAGCATCTTTTAGTGAGTCCAATTATACAACTGTTTATTGTACAACGCTGTACAATATAATTATTTACATCATATTAAATATACTTGAGTATATATAATTATTGTATTATATATTCATTGCATTGTATTTTACTATATAATTATTTATCAAGTTCTTAATAGATGTTTGCAGAATAATAATAGCTGGCACTGCTTATGTGCAAGGCACTGTTCTAAGCACACCTTGATGTGGTCCTACCTCCTCCTAGCCACGTGGGTGCACTTATCCCGCCCTTGTGTTCCACTGGTTAGGTGAAGGCTCCTTTCTGGTTTGAAAAGGAATGTATATGAGTACATTTGAAATATGATTGAATTTTAAAATATTTAAAAATATTACAACGTTTAAAATGTTAATATTTTTTAAACACTACACACTTGTTCTCATTTTAGTCCCAAAACAACCTGGTGAGGTTGGCACTACTACTACTATAATTCTTGCTTTAAAGATGAAGAAATTGAGACACGGAGTGTCCAGAGACTTGCCCAAAGACACAGATCAAAGAGGGGTGTTCACAATCTGAACCCAGGTTTTTTTATCCCAAAGCTTCCATCTTTAACTACTACACCGAACTGCCAGTAACAAGAGCCACTTCATGTCTTGAAATAGCAGTTGGTACACAAGCCCCTAATGGAGGCTTTGATTTCTAAGTCAAGAGGGATGCTTAAGCCTTTCAAATAAAAACAGAAAGGGTCAGAGACGTATCCCAAGGGGGACTGGAACCCGCATGCCTCCACCTGGTGCTTCAACCCCTCAATCAGACACAGAAGAGTCTCAGAACCAGAAAGAGGGGACAGTGTCACAGTGGGAGGTGGGACTCCCTGCAACAGAGGCAGAACAGGAGGTCGGGCAGCAGCAGCACCTGAATTGGGTGGGCGCATTCCACCTAGAAACCTAGACTAAAAACTTCTGTTAGCCAAGCAAAAGGGAACAGGAGAGAGCAAAGTGAGGAAGGAGGTGGGAGAATAAGAGTTAGTGGGCCGGGCACGGTGGTTCACGCCTGTAACCCCAGCACTCTGGGAGGCCGAGGCAGGCGGATCATGAGGTCAGGAGATAGAGATCCTGACTAACACGGTGAAACCCCATCTCTACTAAAAATACAAAAAATTAGCCAGGCGTGATGGCACACACCTGTACTCCCAGCTACTCAGGAGGCTGAGGCAGGAAAATCGCTTGAACCTGGGAGGCAGAGGTTGCAGTAAACCAAGATCATGCCACTGCACTCCAGCCTGGGCAACAGAGCGAGACTCTGTCTAAAAAAAAAAAAAAAAAAAAAAAGAGTGAGTGAGAAAGGGAAATAAACCGGAAAAGCACATCTTCTGAGTGCTTACTCTGCACCAGGTACCGTGCTATGTGTTTTGGTGAGTAGCATTACTTAGTCCTCACAACCACCCCATGAGGTGGGACCTACTAGACCTGATTTGCAGATGACACTTGTGCAAGGACACAGTAGCAGGGCAAGGGTTGAAAGCCAGGTCTCCTGATTCAAGTCCAAGAAGAATCCCCGGGTTCGATAGGTGTGCCTGGGTGAAGAGCAGAGACTTAGGGGCAAGGCTGTGGTTCCAAACTCATGTCAGCCAGTGCTCCTTTTTATAACACACAGCTCCAGGTGAGAGTTTGTTGGAATAAAAGAGTTCTACTGCTTAAAAAACTCAAATTTAATTTATAAAAAGAATTCAAAAACACAATACCACATCACATCTGGTTCCTATCTTCCTCCAATCATCAATCAATTCCACTAAATAAACATCTAGTAATGATTGACTGTGTGCAAGGTTCCCTGAGCCAGCAGCGGTATTATGAAAACAAACCAGACATCAAGAACCAGCCCTGATCACCCTTCCTACACATCATGGAGAGAAGGACAGCACTGAACAGTGATGGTCCAAGGCAAGTGTAGTAAATTATGCAATAGTGTTATGGTATTATTCAATCCTTGCAAAAGGAAAAAAATAATGTATGGAGAAAAACACCAAAGTGTTTATAGAGGTTATGTGATTATTGAAGACTGTGGAATTACTGGAAATTTTGGCTCATCTACATTTTCTAAAGTTTCTACAATAGACATTTTTCACTTTTGAAATATGAAGAAAACCAAGCAGTCATTGTTTAGTGTTCTTCCCATCCAGAATCAAAGATCAGGGACAAGTACGTGGCTGTGATCCCTGATTCTTGTTTCTGTGACCCAGATCATTCCTAGGCACAGTATTTAAGGTTGGGTATCAGAAGTAGAGACTGAATACTCAATGGCCCCCTGCCCCCTGGAACATACACCTCCCAAGCTCTCCACGCCTTCATCACTATTTCATTTAATTGTGGAAAAAAGCATTTGAGTTCAATTCATACCTAGTGTGGTAGGCTATTATTTAACATTAAGAGCTACACTTACTATGCACTGCCTGCATGCAGGACTCTGCTAAACACCTTCAAATTATCTCACTCAATCCTTCCACAACTGCGGAAGTTAGGTACCATTATTTCCATTTTACAGACAAGGAACAGAGGCTGAGAGATATAAGCCATTCGTCCAGTCATTCATGACCAGTCAGTGAAAGAGCCAGGCTTTAAATTGCAGTCTGTCTGGTTCCAAAGTCTTCAGTCTTTATGTCTATACAATTCTGTCCTTCTAAATAGGGCCTGATTTGTTAATATTTATAGAGAATGCATATGTGTTATAATAGGTTTTGCAAATGACCTAGGACTGAAATGAAAACCTCCATGTAGGAAGTGGCTAGATATGAGGTAATAGATGACAACTATGAAAACCAAATAAATTATATTAAAAAACAAAGGTAAAATATCTATGTGAGGTGATGGGTATGCTAATTAGCTTGATTATGGTAATCATTTAACAGTGCATACAGATATCAAAGCATCACATTGTACATTGTAAATATACACAATTTTTATTTGTTAATTAGACACCAATAAAGCTAGAAATTTAAATTTAAATTAAAAACAAGATAATAAATATAGTACTCCAAACTCATTGCTTCCTAATTAATTGACTTCATTTTACTACTAAATATGCTTTTATACCTGTGTAGTGGAAATACTATCTAATAGTGTTCTACTACACCTCTCTTCCCATTTCCGTATTTCACAGTGTCTCATTATGGCTTGAAATTGGCTATAGTGGGAGTATTTACACCAAAGAAATCAGCAAACACTACCAATCAGTGCTCAGTTGATTGTTTTGTTGATTGTTTAGATTTAAGGAAGTGACAAAGGAAATGTTAACAACGTAGATTAAACCTGAACTGTGTCACCTTTTAGCTGTTACATTGTGAATAGCACACAACATTGAGATATTCTTCCAGTATTTGAAAACTATTATCTGCCTCTCTAAAGAAGTATCTTATATTACTGACAAATGAGTAAAGTTCTGATATGTCTTTGATGTGTCCTTCACATTGAAACCGTACTCCTTCACCAATGATGTGAGCAACCTCTGTGTTGAACCAGACTGCCATCAAGCACATATTTGTAGCTGATTTTGTCAAACTATGGTTGAATTGCAACCATAGGTTGGCTACTGATACATGAGTTCAGTAAAAATCGGTGGAAGAGTCCTGTGATAATTAGTTGACTATGTGAGATTTACAATACAATATGTTGCATTTTTTAACTTTTTATTTCATACTTTATTTTATTTTCCCTGTCCTTGGAAATCAATGTTGTATACGTTAATATTATTTGTAAATTGTGAGCTATGCATATTTTATATCGGTAAATTTTATAATAAACTTCTTTTTTCCCAGAGAGTCAGGTGTTAAACATTGAAAGCACACTACTGGGTAGAACCATGGACAGCCTACTTGACTCCTTTAGTGACAAATTCTCAGAAATTTTCAGAACTCTGGACAAGGTCTTCCCAGTGATTCCCAAGGAACCCCTAGGTGAGTGACATTTCAGACCTAGTCCTTTCTCAACTACAGCTGTCCCAATTCCCAACTTCTTAAGTATCACTGGAAGTCTGGCCCATCTTTCAGAGAACTAACCACAGATCACTTGATAGAATTAGAAACTCTCCTTTGGAACACAAGTTGCAAACAAAACAAGGTTTCTGCAACAGAAAACATTACTGGAAACCTTGGAAAATATTAATCACACTCTCTCCAGGTGAGTACTTCATTGCTGTATCCATCATGCAACATTATCAATTACTAATTTATATGTTAATCTCCCCTGCTGACCACAGGCACCATGAAAACAAGAGTGTCTCTTATTCCTTCCTTGCCCAGACAGAGTTCAGCCAATGTTCCTGAGCTCATGTATGAATGACAAAAGAGTCGGGGATTGAGGCCCAGCAGAGTGGCTCATGTCTATAATCCCAGCACTTTGGGAAGCTGAGGGAGGAGGATTGCTTGAGCCCAGGAGTTTAAGACCAGCCTGTGTAACATAGCAAGATCCCTGTCTCTACAAAAAGAAAAATTAAAAATTAGCTGGTCATGATGGTATATGCCTGTAGTCCCAGTTACTTGAGAGGTTGAGGCAGGAGGATCACTCAAGGCAAGGAGTTTGAGATCAGCCTGAGCAACACAGTGAGACCTTATCTTTACAAAAAAAAAAAAATTAGCCAGGCATGGTGGTGTGCACCTGTAACCCTAGCTACTGGGGAGGCTGAAGCAGGAGGATCACTTGAGCCCAGGAGTTGGAAGCTGTAGTGAGCTGATTGCACCGCTGCACTCCTGCCTGGGCAACACAGCAAGACCCTGTCTCAACAACGACAGAATAAAAAGAGAGAAGAGAAAGAGGAGGAGGATCTCCTCACAAATCTGGCATTGGCAGAATTAGCATCATTTTGTTGTGTTATTTAGGTGTTTCCTGTATGGCTCAAGAGCAATACCTTTATTGTGATTCTATATCCAAATATATATACAACAGCAAGTCAACTGACAAGATCACCCAGATTTTTCTAAATATACTACATATAATTGTTACTCTTACTAAAGCACACAACCATCATGATTAGTGAACAATAACCATGGGATTCATCCATACAAATAAGTTGCCTTTGCAAATAGGATCCCCAAATCCCCAAATATATGTGGGCTAAAGACACTTTACAAGTGTGATCTAGAAACTTGCCCCTTTTTATGTTCTGTACTTACAGAGTAGAGGGAAGAACAAGCTATCCTTGGTCATGTGGCTGTGCATTATAGGGGCAGGTCCTATATGAATGATTTTTATCTAGAGGCTGTTGTATCTACCTTGTTTCTGAGTATTTGAGGGATCTAAAGCCAGGGCACTTTGGGAATGGGAGACAATTGCAGAGGGGGCAACAGCTACTCTCAGAATTGATACTGAGAGCAATAAAAGCCAACACACACAGGAATTGCTACAAAACCATCACAGCATACAGAGTTTTCTAAATTGTGCCTGGAATTAAAAAAAAAAAAAAGAATGCCAAAGGATACATTTAAGATAATTAAGTCATCATTTAACTCAATCAGTGAAATAATAGACATGAAAATAGGCCCAGAATTCTCCTTCAGGATCCGTATGGATATTGGTATTGGCCCACTTTCCTAATTTCCATGCTTTCCACGGCTTTTAATTTCTTCTTTCCATGACTGAAAACCAAATACACAATTTTCTCCTCCTTAATTCTGTCTCACTCGGAGCTGGGAATTTTCTGACATAAGAAGCTAATTAAAAACGCATTACTACAGCAAGGGTTGCCTTGCAATTCACCTGGCATCTAGGGGTTAATCTCACACATTTTCAATCCCACCTTAAACAGAAATAATAGAAACAGGAAACTGGCTTTTGGGCAACCTTCCTAAGATGGTGCTTCAGAGCACAACAGTTAAAAAAAAAAAAAAAAGAAAGAAAAAGAAAAAAACCTCTGTGCAAATGGAGATGAATGGTACGCAGGCCACTGAGGTAATTAAAAATGTATTTTCCGTCTCCTAGTAATTGAATTGTGTACAAGCTGCAAGTTAATGAGGTCATCTACCCTCGAGCACTGACAGGAAAGCAGGAATAATTATCTTTCAATTTTTTCTTATGTAGCAATTAATTTTAACCATTTGCCTACACCCCACTTCCACTCCCCTCATTCCAGTCAGTCAAAGTCATCGCTAAACCGAATTGACAAGCAATTGATACGGTGGCGGCACGGAGCTGCCGAGGCGGGCAAGGTAATCAAGGGGCTGCAGCTGTTGAGGGCTAAGCGCTTCCAGGTGACTGTCGCCTGAGATTTCGCATTCTGTCTCGCGGAGGATGTGGGACACACAGTGGTGGCTGATGGAACATCTGGTGCCAGGTGGGCTGGGAAGGGGCACTGCTGACTTGGGAAGGCAACAGAAGGATGGACAAGGATTGATGGATGGACAAGACTTTGAAACAAAAATGTCACTTATAAAAACTGTTATCGCAAAATGGGGGAGAAGCGCCCGGCCACTCGCTACACACATCTTAAGCTTATGGCCTCCTTGAACTTCTTGAAGATTTTGGCTGGTTAAGTTTAGAGTGGGGTCCAGCTGCTCAGTTCTCCTAGAACTTACAAACACAAAAAGTTTCTTCCCTCATTGAGCTCAACAAAAGCTCACCGCTGTTTTTACTCATCCTCATTCTAGGCCCACTGTTCTAAGCCAGAGCAGTGCTGAGGAACAATTTATTCCAACTCAGCTGCAGTCTAGCCCAGAATGCATCACGATATGATGTAATGGAAGGTTGTCCATACGCTGGTTGGTCCAATGTTTAGATCAGATCCTAGGTTTGTGACTCCACATCACCCCCACTTGTCTTTCTAATTGGCAAAAATTAGAGAAAAATCTCACTTTTGACAGGTTTCAACCAAAATGAGTAAATGTTTATGAAAGAGAGAGAGAGAGAGATATCAGGTCCGTGATGGTTAATTTTATAAGTCAACTAGACTGGATTAAGGGATGTCCAGATAGCTGGTAACGCATTATTTCTGGGTGTGTCTATGAGGGTGTTTCCAGAAGAGATTGGCATTTGAATCATGGACTGAGTCTGGAAGATCCACCTTCACCCAGTGGGGCTGGGCACCATCCAATCCATTGAGGGCCCAAATTGAACCAAAAGGCAGGAGAAAGGTGAATTCACTCTGTCTTCAAGAGCTGGCACAGCCATCTTCTCCTGCTCTTGAACATCGGAATTCCATGTTCTCAGATCTTCAGACTCCAGGACCTGTACCAGCACCCCACATGGTTTCCAGGTCTTGGACTCAGACTGAACGATACCACTGACTTCCCTTGTTCTCCAGCTTGAAGATGCATATCTTGGGAATTCTCAGCTTCCATAACTGCATGAACCAATTCCATATATCCATATTTATACCTATATCTACATCTAACTACCTATTATTGGTTCTGTTTCTCTGGAGAACCCTGACCAATACAAGGCCATTATTCATTAAGCCTATTCAGACTTATTAAGTGTCTAAATGGCTCTTCATGCTAAGTAAGCTCTTAACACTAAGTTCTATGAGAAGAGCATGCATAATACTAAGTATCAATACTTAATATAATACTTAATACTAAGTAAGCATATTGCTCAGTTTATATCTGCTGTCCTGATGCAATTATTAATAGCAACACTTCACTCTTGAAAGTGTACCACTACTGATGATAGTTTATATAGCCACCTGGTCATGAGGTGCTATGGGTGAAAGCTATCCAGGAGGCCAACAGAGATAAACTGAAGTGTCTTTTAGTTTAGCAGAAGAGTAAGATAAAATACCTTTCTCTTTGTTCCTGAGGCTTTTGTTAACTTTTTTTTTTTTTTTTGAGACAGGGTCTTGCTCTGTTGCCCAGGCTGGAGTGGCATGATCATAGCTCACTGCAGCCTCCAACTCCTGGGCTCAAGCAATCCTCCTGCCTCAGCCTACCAAGTAGCTGAGACTACAATCGTGTGCCACCAGGCCCAGCTAATTTTTTCATTTTTTGTAGAGACAGAGTCTCGCTATGTTGCCCAGGCTGGTCTCGAACTCCTGGGCTCAAGCAATCCTCCCGTCTCAGCCTCCCAAAGCTTTCTGGGATTACAAGCGTGAGCTACTGCACCTGGCCCCTTTGTTGACTCTTCATTCTCATAATGTCTATGCCATTTCTCCAAGGGGACCACAGAAGGAAGGGCACTTTGGAGCCATTTTTACTCAGATCAATGCAAAGTCATCAGGTGGACTCAGGGATCCATGACAGAGCAAAAAGAGGAAAAAGTCTCCCTCGAAGCCTACAAGGGATGACAAACAGGCTCTCAATCTGTGTCCTGAAGCAACTGTAGGAGGAGAGTGAGAGGGGAAGCTCTTGCAGGCCACTTTTCAAAGATGAGCAGGGCTGGGTGCAGTGGCTCACCCCTGTAATCCCAGCACTTTGGGGGGCCAAGGCGAGTGGATCACTTGAGGTCAGGGGTTCGAGACCAGCCTGGCCAACATAGCGAAACCCCATCTTTACTAAAAATACAAAAAATTAGCCGGGCTTGGTGGTGGGCGCCTTTAGTCTCAGCTACTCAGGAGGCTGAGGTGGGAGAATCGCTGGGACCTGAGAGGCAGAAGTTGCAGTGAGCTGAGAATGCACCACTGCACTCCAGCCTATGAGACAGAGCGAAACTCCATCTCAAAAAAAAAAAAAAAAAAAGGGATGAGCAGTTGTCATTATGGGTTTGCTGCTCCTGCAATTAAATACATATCTGGGCCAGTCACGTGGCTCATACCTGTAATCCTAGCACTTTGGGAGGCTGAGCAGGAGGATCGCTTGAGCCCACAAATTCTAGAATAGCCTGGACAACACAAGGACAGCCCCACGTCTACAGAACGAAAAAAATAAATAGCCAGTCATGGTGGTGCATGCCTGTGGTCCCAGCTACTCAGGAGGCTGAGGTGGGAGGATTGTTTGAGCCCAGGGGGTCAAGGCTGCAGTGGGACATGATCATGCCACTGCACTCCAGCCTGAGCAACAGAGCAAGGCCATGTCTCAAAAATAAATAAATGCACAAGTGCTTAAAAATAAATAAATTCTGGGCTGGGCACGGTGGCTCAGGCCTGTAATCCCAGCACTTTGGGAGGCCAAGGTGGGCGGATCACTAAGTCAAGAAATCGAGACTATCCTGGCCAACATGGTGAAATCCCATCTCGACTAAAAAAAATACAAAAATTAGTTGGGTGTGGTGGCATGCACCTGTAGTCCCAGCTACTCAGGAGGCTGAGGCAGGAGAATTGCTTGAACCCGAAAGGCGAAGGTTGCAGTGAGCCGAGATGGTGCCACTGCACTCCAGCCTGGGCAACAAGAGTGAAACTCTGTCATAAATAAATAAATAAGTTCTGTAAACCCAGAATTATGGATGCCATCAGGGAAGGACGCACTTTGTACCATGGTCACTGCAACTTCACGTACAGGTTTAAGTCTCACTGCCCCTGCCTACCTTCAGACAAATTTCTCTCTTAAGAGGATAAAGAAGCTAGCATTGTTTTAGCTCCTATCACGTCCTAGGAAGTTTATATGTATGCATTACTTGTCACAGCAATCCTCTGCAGCATTAAAATTGCAATTTCCAGATGAGGAAACTGAGGCTCAGAGAAGTCCAGGGATTTGCCCAAAGACAAAGGATTTAAGCCTGAGTCCATCAGATGTCAAAGCCCATGCTTCTTCCCTGACATCACTCCAGCAGGCTGGACTAGGCAGGTGAGGTTTTGTTCTTTTTCTCATTGCAGGCTTGCTCCTTCTAGCTCTATGACTGTTAACTAATCTAGCATTCTGGAAAAATGAGGCAACATTCCCATTGATCCCTAAGTGTCCATTCTTGGAGAGTTTTGTGTAAAGCGTGGCCCTCTTCCTTTTCTATGGCAGACCCCACATGGGAGGGGACACATATCTGTCTCTAATGCCTTGGTATGACTGTGTTTATCAGGTCCCTTTTCTCCGAATTATATGGCCATTAGGAAATAAATCCTATCAGAAGAGAAGAAACTAGAACCAGGGGGAAGGACACACATGAGCAGGCTGAGGTAGACCAGTGTATTTTTATTATTTTCTTTTTTTTTTTTTTTTGGTGGGGGAGGACAGTCTCACTCTGTCACCCAGGCTGGAGTACAGTGGCGTGATCCCGGCTCACTGCAACCTCTGCCTCCTGGGTTCAACCAATTATCATGTCTCAGCCTCCCTAGTAGCTGGGATTACAGGTGCAAACTACCACATCCAGCTAATTTTTTTTTTTTTTTTTTTTTTAGTAGAGATGGGGTTTCACCATGTTAGCCAGGCCGGTCTCAAACTCCTGACCTCAAGTGAGCCATCTGCCTCGGCCTCCCAAAGTGCTGGAATTACAGGCATGAGCCACTGCACCTGGCCTGGAGGAGTATATTAGACAGGGTTCTCCAGAAACAAAGCCAACAGGATGTTGGAGGGGGCAGAGGCCAGCATGCTGGAGACTGAGGAAAGAGTTGCAGTTCAAGTCCAAAGGCCATTAAGCTGGAGACCCAGAAAGAGCCAATGTCACAGTGCAAGTCTGACATACCATCTAGCGCAGAATTCCTATTGCTCAAGGGTGGTCAGCCTTTTGTACTAGTCAGGCCTTCAACTGATTGGGCGAGGCCCACCCACATGATGGAGGGCAATCGCCTTTACTCAAAGTCCACTGATTTAAATGTAAATCTCACCCAAAACAGCCTCACAGAAATCATTTTTAATATCCGGGCATCATGGCTCAACCGAATTAACAGATAAAATTGACCATCACAAGCAGAGAGGAAAACAAAGCTGGTGTCATCTTAAGGCATCTCTCGGGCCAAGAACTTGGAGGAAGTAAGATTTCCTCATGGCTTCCATTTTTGACCCAATTCATTTTTTTCTGCTTTCCCTAGAACCTCTGCTCCTATGAAACTAAGGAAGTGTAAATATAAAGCGTTCAGGGTATTTGTTGAGAAAGAGAGCAGACATATGACAAAGGGTGATTTGTTTCAAAGATGGGAGAGAGTGGGCTACGTGTCTACACTGGCAAGAATGATCCTCAGGAGAGAGAGAGGGAGTAATTCAAGAGGAACACGCAAAGGAATCAAGACCTCTGGAGGAGCCCTGGGTAGAATCCCAGAACCCCAGAGCTAGAAAGGACTCTCAAGTCCCTACTCTTTTTAACCAGCAGAACATCAAGGTGAAACAACATAGGTAGGGCTACTTAGCTGGTAAACTACACAACCAAGAACCCCTGTCTTAGCAATGACTTGCTGTTTGTTGAGCACTTACCATCTGCCAGGATTTATCTTACAGAAAAGGAAACAGGCTCAGATAAGTGAGTTGTCCAAAGTTAGACAGTTACCAAGGGTTAGGACTGGAATTCAAACCTGATAATGTCTGACTCAGAAATCTTAACATTTACTGTCCACACTGGATAGCCTGCTGGCCAGGGTACCCTGCATCCTGTAGAACTGAGTCCCCGAGTCTCTGGAACTCCTCATCTGTAGCTATTTACAGTCTCGGGGAAACCAAAATGTCCTAACCTCTTGGAAGGTGGCTCAGACAGGAGGTGATGCTGTCTATATCTGTGACACACAGCCACATAGCATCTCAGAGTGGGAGATTAAGACCAGATCCTTGGGAAAGTTCATCAGGAACACCACACATACAAATGTGCACAGGTGTGCATGCACACACACACACACACACACACAGATGCACACATGAACGTGCTCATGAACAGACGGCACAGATTTCCTATGGCTCTGTGAGGATAAGGGGCTGCCAGCAGGACACTCCACCATCACCTGCTGAACACAAGCTGTTCCACCCCCTTGCTGAGCCTTGGAACCAGTGTGCAATCATACACAAAAAAGCCCGGCTCCATTTTAGTGGCTAAATTGCCATCCAAAGAAAAGACTTCCTAGGACAACAGATTTCTCGGAGGAGAATACAAAAGAGTGAACAGGTGGTTTCCCATCCAAAAGCGTCACCCCTAACTTCCTCTCCAGACTCCAGGCTGCCTGGTCAGGCCTGGAAAGGAAAAGACATGTTGGCGCAAAATAGAGACATTTTTGGAAGTGCAAATGGAACTTGTGAATTGTTTGGCGTTTTGTTTCAATAAAGAACATCTTTTGAAAAAGGTAGATGATGATGATGATGATGATCATGATGATGCTACTACTTATTAAGCATAATAATAATGACTGCTGCAATTTATTGAGCACTTACTACATGCCAAGAACTGTGCTTCACATGCACTCTCTAATTTGATCTTCACAACAACTGTTTGACTAGTAGTCTGTTCATGCTGCCATTTTACAGGGGAGAAAATGGAGGCTCTGAAAGGTTAATTCTCTTCCCAAAGGACACGAGCTAGTAAGGACAGTAGCTGGGGTGGAAACCTGAGTCCCAATTCTGATTCTGAGGCCTGTGCCCCTAATCTGTGTGTGTGTGTGTGTGTGTGTGTGTGTGTGTGTGTGTGGGTGTGTGTGTGTATAGATGACTTAACATAAAAAGTAAGACACCTTGAGCAATTAACTCTCCAAGAAGAACTTCAGGACACAGACTGAAGTAAAATTCTCTCCTCTCTCTCTCCACTAACAGGTCTACACTTGGGGATATGCAGGTGAGCGCCCACAGCTCCCTTCTACTCACAGGGCAAAGGTGTGGGACCCTCCATCCCTTTTCACTTCCACTTCACCAGACTCTCCCAGCTTTCTGGACATTAGTGAGACATGGGTTCCTTGGCATCCAACTCCCTTTGTGATGCCCAGCTACTGCTTTCTCTAGATCCCCTCCAACGGCTTCCGTCACACTTAGAACAAAATCCAAAGCCCTCCTCTTGGCAAACAGGGCCCTGCATGATCTGGCTGTGACTCCCCCTTTACCTTTTCTATTCCAAGTACCCTCATCTATGCCATTCTCCCCACACTGACCTGCCCAAGCATGTTCAGAGGCTTTGCCCTCACTCTTCCCACTGCCTGGAATGCCTGTCCTTGGGTATTCACGTGGCTCGCTGTATTCAGGTACCTTGCCCAAATGCCACCTGATGAGAGAAGACTTCCCATTTACCTTCTCCCCAACAGCACCCTTCAGCCCCTCCACTCTCTGACCACTGATCCTGCTTTATTTCCTTTCACAGCATTTATCACTACCTGATCTTTCATTGTGTCTGTATATGTTATTATCTGTGTCACCAACTAGAGGAGGAACTCTGTGAGGACGGGGATGTCCCCCGGTGCTCAAGCTTGTCTTAGCCTGTAATATAGCACCTCGCCACTGAGGCCGCTCAACGAACACTGTCAAATGCACGCCCAAGTCTCCAGGTTGCGTTCCCTTGCCCTGTTTTACAATATAATACATGATGGGTTCTTTGACCCAAACTAATTAAGCAAGAATTATCAGAAAAATGTCATTTTCTACTTCTTTTCAATCCTGCCTTTTTTTCTTTTTGAGACAGGGTCTCGCTCTGTCATCCAGGCTGAAGTGCAGTCACGCAATCACAGCTCACTGCAGCCTCCATCTCCCAGGCTCAAGCAATTCTCCCATTTCAGCCTCCTGAGTAGCTGGGACCACAGACGTGCCACCATCTTGGAGTATATTTATTTTTTATTTTTTGGTAGAGACAAGGACTCACTATGTTGCCCAAGCTCATTTCAAACTCTTGGCCTCAAGTGATCCTCCTGCTTTGGCCTCCCAAAGTGCTGGGATTACAGGCATGAGCCACAGCCCCCAGCATGCCATTACCTTTATGCAACATCACACCACTCATCCTAAAAAAAAAAAGAAAAGAAAAACATCTTCTGACTAATATTCTCAGGCTCACTCTCATGTTGGAATGCACCTCAGCTGCCATTGCTCCAACCACGTTTCATAGGTTAGGAAGATGAGGCCCAGACAAGTTAAGCCCCTTGTCCAAGATATCACAGCTGGTTAGGGATGTAGCAAACACTGAAATCCAGCTGTTTTGCTTTGTATTCTAGTCTCTAAAGAAGAGATGTGTAACTTGTAGGAGGTACAAAGAAGACACATAATTTAGTCCTGGTCTCTTGGTATGTCCTCCAGTGGTAGAAAGAGAATTGGGAGTTTTCAGTTTTTCCTACTTTTCATTCCCTAAATTCGGAATACTTCTGGTTCCCCCACAGACTCCTCAAATCTGCTAGCCCAGATTCTCAAGGCCCCTGGCACAGAAACTAACGACTGCTCTAGAACTAAAGATTTGGTCCCCATGGTGAACAGGTAAAGCAATATTTAAGGAAAGATGATCACCTAGAGAACAGTGGGCAAGTTCCATAGTGGAAAAGAGGCACAGGCAGTTCAGACTCAGCATCCACAGCGTCTAATCTGGAAGACGGAGGACATCATGGGCTGTGCCGGCGCTGATGCTCACCCTGTTCCCATGGGGACACATCTCCAGTGTTTCGCCCACCAACTTGTCACGCTTCTCTAATGTTTATTTGACTTATCTATATATGGTGGGAAGTTGAGCAAAGAATGTGTCAAGAGCCCAAGCGAGGACCAAAGAGGATGGCCTGGGAAGAACAAAGACAAATCAATCCAGAGCAACTACGCGATCTCAAACCAAATAAGGAAGAAACAACTATTGATTTCCAAGAAGGGCAAAAAAAAAAGAAAAAGGAGGGAGGGGAGGGAAGGGGGAAAGGGAGAAGAGAGAAGAAGCGGGAGAAGAAAGAGGAGAAGGAGAAGGAGAATCCCTTGTCCAGCAAATACAGGTCACAGAGCACCTAACAGCTTTTCTCTATCCTGGTGTGGCAGAGCCTGGCACCGTCCCTGCAGTAGCCATTCTTTCCTTTAGGACTCATGGCTGTCCCACTAAAGACTACAATTCTAAGACTCCCTTGCAGCTGGATGTGACCACAGGGTGAGATTCTGGCCAATGGGATGTGAGTGAAATGTGCAATTTCAGGAGCTTGCCCTCTTCTTTCTTCCCCCTCCTGTCAGGGAAGCCTGGCTGTGATGGCACATCCTCTGCAGCCACACGGGTGAGGACAACACTCCAAGGACAACAGAGCTACAGGAAGAAAAGAGTAGGGGGCCCCAGCACAGGCAAGCTCCTCTGCCGGTGCCAGATCTTATCCCTGGACTGCGATGTGACAGGGAAATAATCTCTCTTGTTTAAGCCACTATATTCCGGTGTCTTCTGTTACAGCAGCCTAACTGACATTCTAACTAAAGCTCTTTGTTTCTGCACTCAATATTTAAACTTTACCCACTGTCGTTGAATCTCTGACTTGCCCTGTCCACTTAACCCCACTCTCAGGAGATGATCTGATCTTCTATTTCAGAAAGCAAAGAGAAGCCAGCATATGGGAACACTCAGCTTCCACTACATAACCTTTATAGGTGACATCTGCACATACCTGCTCCTCCCATCCCTGCTGGAACTCTGTGGGAGTGTCCCTCTTCCTATCATGGCCAGGATTTCCATCTGGGCTTTGGGTCCCATCCCTTCCTGCCCTTCAGGGTAATCTCATTATCAACCATCCCTTGTCTTTTATCATTCAGCCTCTCCCTCCCTCTTGACTGTTACCATGGCAGTTTTTTAATATGTTGGTGTCTTTCCCATCTTAATAATAATAATAATAATAATAATAAAATACTAAGACCTTCCTTGATCACACACTAGCATGGCACATTTCTATAGCCTCCTCCATAGTACACAAAGAACTGTGTATTCATTAGTGGAGGAGAGGGTGCAAGAGGGGCTTTGTCCCCATGCTCCTTTCTCCCATACCCCTTTAGTCGGGCCACCCCCCAACAACCCGTCGTCTCAGCAGGTAATTCTGAGCACCCTCATGCTTTCCTTGCCCTGAAAGGTACAGATCCCAGACGCTGGAGTTCAACAGCCCTACTTTGCTCTGCTACTCAGCCTGGCATGACCCCTGACTCCTGCACTTCAGTTTCATTGATCATAAAATGCAAACAATGGATATGCTACTTCATAGGGTTGTTGTGAGGATTAAAGCATATATGTGTCTTTATCAGGATTTCTAGTTGCAATCCATAGAAATGAACTCTGGCTAATTTGGTTAGAAAAGGGAATTGTTAAAAGGATTTTGGAGACCCCAGATCTCCAGGAAGGCTGGAGAACAGGTTTGAATACTATGTTGCCAGGAATAACACCCAAAAATCACATCACAGAGCTAGTCCCCTGAAGAAACCTCTGCCAAGCCACGGCCGCTGTCCCCAGACACACTGTTCACTGGCCCCAGAGCAGCAGTGACGGCTGCCATCACAAGTGGGAAGTCACTGCCATAGGCCCCTCTCCCTCGCCAGAATGGATCCTGAGCAGTCACAGCCTCAGCCCGTCAGCAGCTGCTGATTCACAGCCTGGGGTGGGTCCATTGGCAGAGCCTGGGTCTCATGCCAGCATCCGAGCTGCAAAGGAAATGGGGAAAGCAAGTTATCTGTTATATTCAGCTTCTGTACTGTGCGCATGGGTGAGGAGGAGTATCCTATAGTCAGAGGAAGTGTGTTCAGCTACCAACAACCAAAAAGAATGACTAATATCCACTAAACAAATGAAATATTTATCCCAGTACTTGACGTGTTATCTTTCATCATTGTACTTTATTTTACCCAAGTCTGTGTTGAGACCATCAGGCTGGCTTAGTGGCTCATGCCTGTAATCTCAACAGTTTGGGAAGAAGGGGAGGGAGGATTGCTTGAGGCCAGGAGTTCGAGACCAGCCTAGGAAATATAACAAGACAGTGTCTCTACCAAAAAAAAAAAAAAAAATTGGCCAGGCATGGTGGTGTGCACCTGTGGTTCTAGCTATTCGGAAGGCTGAGGCAGGAGGATGACTTGAGCCCAGGAGTTGGATGCTGCAGTGAGCTATGATCGTGCCACTGCATTCCAGCCTGGGCAACAGAGCAAGACTTTGTCTCTTAAAAAAAAAAAAAAAAAATCCAGGCACACCTGTAATTCCAGCACTTTAGGAGGCTGAGGCGAGCGGATCACCTGAGGTCAGGAGTTCAAGACCAGCCTGCCCAACACAGTGAAAACCTGTCTGTACTAAAAATACAAAAATTAGCTGGGTGTGGTGGCACGTGCCTGTAGTCTCAGGTACTCGGGAGGCTGAGGCACGAGAATCGCTTGAACCCAGGAGGCGAAGGTTTCAGTGAGCCAAGATCGTGCCACTGCACTCCAGCCTGGGCAACAGAGCGAAACTCCATCTCAAGAAAAAAAAAAAGAATATCATGTGGTAAAAATATTCACAACCATCCCCCTCTTTCCCCCAGCAACAGAACTTTCCAATAAAACCTACCTGTCCCCACATCCCAGTATCTCCTTTTATTTTTTTCTCCAAGGAACTAATGGCTATCTGATAAACTTGGGCTAAATATGGATGACTGAAAATTGGCTAGTTGGTGTCTGATTCTTTTCTACATCTTCCTGTGTTCATAGGAGATTCCCGGAGTCACAGAGCTTCCACCCAAAGGGTGTCTGATTCTTTTCTACATCTTCCTGTGTTCATAGGAGATTCCAGGAGTCACAGAGCTTCCACCCAAAGGGATTTCAAGCAGCTGTGAAATTTACCTCAGGGAGTTTTTGGTCAGCAGGAAGGTCTTTTGACTGAGACGACTGCTATTCAGTAAATAACCTTGGCTAAATTGATGTCACCAACTCCTTGTCAACCCCATAGGTTTGAGCACATCTTACATACTTTCACACATTTTATCTCACCCGCTCTGCCCCCAAAGCCCCATGTGATATTCAGGATGTTATCATCTGCAGTTGATGAGATGTCCAGAAAGGCTTAATGAACTTCCCAAGGGACTAAATTTGGTAAACAGAAGTAACACTAGGCCAGATGTGGAGGCTCACACCTATAATCTCAGCACTTTGGGAGGCCAAGGCAGGAGGATCGCTTGAGGCCACAGTTCGAGAACATCCTGGGCAACATAGCAAGACTGGAGTCTCTAATATAAATATATATATATATATATATATATATATATATATATATATATATATATATTTGAGACGGAGTCTCACTTTGTCTCCCAGGCTGGAATGCAGCGGTATGATCTTGGCTCACTGCAACCTCTGCCTCCCAGGTTCAAGCAATTCTCCCCTCAGCCTCCCAAGTAGCTGGGACTACAGGTGCATGCCACAATACCCGGCTAATTTTTATAATTTTTTTTTTTTGTATTTTAGTAGAGACGGGGTTTCACCATGTTGCCCAGGCTGGTCATGAACTGCTGAACTCAGGCAATCCTCCCACCTCGGCCTCCCAAAGTGCTGGGATTACAGGCATGAGCCACTGGCACCCGGCCAAAATATTTTTTTAAATAGCCGGGCATGGTGGTGTGTGACTGTAGTCCCAGCTACCTGAGAAGCTGAGCGAGAGGACTGCTTGAGCCCAGGAGTTCAAGGCTGCAGTGAGCTATGATTGTACCACTGCATTACAGCCTGAGCAACAGAGCAAGACCCTGTCTCTAAAAAAAAAAAAAAGTAATAATAAGACTAAAACTAGACCCAGTGTCCTGATTCCTGGCCAAGTGCTCTTTACTTTTTACAAATTCCAGCTGCCCTTTTTTAGGTGGAGAAAATCCCAGTGGTGTCAGTGAATAAAGGAACAAAGGAACCCAGGAGAAAGTCCTTGGGAGGCTGGCAGGGGAGAATAAACAAACCAGGAATGATCCCCCTCTTTAGGAACATCTGATTTGCTGTGACTTAACTCTGAATATTTTCAAATTTCTGATTCCAAAACATTTACATTCACCAGGAGTACTGAATGTAATTACTTCCTTTTTGTCTCAAAAATTGCAAAAATTAGGGGATGTACAACAACCACAGAAGGAATTCAGGAGCTGAGGTGAAAAGGGGTAGCACCCAATCTGCAAAGCCAGTGGGAGCCTTTTTAGCCACAGCACTGGGGAAGCTGCCATCTTTGAGCTCCATGATTAAAGCAACTGCAAATTAGTTTCAGCAAAGGTCTTTCTCCTTAAATTGAAAAGCACCGTGTAATGGAATTTCATAGACGCTGCTTTGGAAATGACTTCATACCTCACTCTGTTCAGAGCTGAGAGGTGGCCACATGCCATGAATCATAAGAGGCTGAGGCTCTCGAGGGGCTGGTGAACCATCCTCTGACTTCAACATCTAGATGCTCACAGACAACTCGCCCCCATCCGTTAACCTAGGAAGGGAATTACTCATCTCAGAGCACTGGAGTCACTTCTGCATGATTAGTAATCTTCTCTTCCCCCAACTCAGGCTACTTACTTGCAAACTGTGCTTTGTACCACAGTCAGGCTCCTAGGGGTTGCTAGCTGCAAACAGATTGCCCAGGTACATGCATTTTAAGTAAAAGGCTTTGAAAAGCTATGGGATTTGGGGGCTTTAGGAAGATTTCCAATAAAAATGATAAAGTCAAGCTGACAAAGATACATACGGAATGCCACGCTGTTTTCACTGACCACCTTCGCTTTCTTGGGGTACTCTGTGAGACCCCATCTTTCCAAATTGTTGGCAGCTTTACGGTCAACCAAAGCAGGCTGTATTTCAGTGTCAAGTCTGATTGATTAATATTTTCAAACAGCTCAAATGTTTAATACATTTATGCATAAAAAATGCATTAACTTCTACTATGTGCCAGGCACTAGGTCAGGCACTAAATTACAACAGTAAGTAGGACTATCAATCACAGTTCTCATGGTGCTTATAGTCAAATGATGGAGACAGGATGTATTCAAATAATATGACGCATGTAAAATTGCAATTATGACAATAATTGAAAGTCCCTAGGCTTTCAGGGAATCCTGAGAGAGCCCAGGAGAGGGGAATTAGACCTGGTCAGGGTCTAATTAGACCAAGTCAGCCCTAAGAAAGTGACCCTTGAACTGAAACTAAAAGGTAAGGAAGAGCTAACCAAATGGAGAGAGAAGAGGAAAGCACTGAGGCAGAGGACACAGTGTGGGCAAAGCCCTAGAGTGGCAGGGGCATGGTAAGGACTGGAAACAGAGCCCATATGCATTAAGCTTAATGAGCGAGGGGAGCCTGAGGAAGAGGCAGACCCCTCAGGGTTCCACAGGACACCCAAAGGAGTTCTGTCTTTGTTTACAATGCAAATTGCATGGCATGGAAAAGTTTTGAATGGAGGTGAGGGCGGAAATGTGGCCTCATCCAAATGTCCCTCTGCTTGCAGCATGGAGGTTGTATTGGGTTGGGGCTCATAAGCTGCTTGCCAAAAACCCATGAAGGGAAGTAGGTGTTTAAAGTCTTCCCTGCCCTGATGGTGACCTGATTCACCCAGAATCTCAAGGCCAATCACACAGCCAGCTCAGGTATTCAGGACACCAGTCTCCTACCACAAAGCTCCTTCTACTACAACATTGCTTAGTAGTAGCATAATTTTCAAGATATGATGTTATCACCTGGGCAATAAGTTGGTAAACCAGGCAGCACATCCTTTCACCTCTCTGGGAAGCTACCCACTGACACAGGTAACAGCACTGACAATAATCAGCATTCAAGTACCAAGCCCAATACTGGGGTCATCACTTTTCCAGCTACATACCCCCTGTGTAGGAGAGATGTTCAAGTGTGTGCTCTTACAAATGATGATAATAATTTTAAAAATTTAACCTCCAGTCATTACCTATGTGCTTATGTATTGGTGTTGAGGAAGAAAGCAGGTTACCAAAAGGACCAAGCTACCTGAACACATTCCAGGAACAGGAACTAGGGCTCAACTTTTGTGGTGATTTATTTGCTCAAGAGTTATTGTACCCATTCTGTTAAATTATTTCACATTTGCTGATCATTTAATTAAAACATCTACTTAAGGTAATGGTATTATAAATGTTTAAACTGTTATCACTATGTTTTTCTATTTATAACAACTGTGTTGTAACCATACTACACAGATACAGTCCACCCAGAGACCCTGCCCCGTTCCCCTCTGCACAGTCAGCCAGAGTGGCTCATGTGTCCACTCTCCCACTGTTTCAGTTTAAAAATCATAATTATACTACCCAGAAGGAGGTGCTCATGAGCTCATCAGCATCCTTTGACCACATCAGCACAGATTCAGTTATTTTAGAAATCAGGGTTCTGCACAAATGAAAGGGAAGACAGATGAGCCTTGATTGGGAGACAAAGGAGGGTGGGGAGATAAAAAGGCAGACCCAGAGGTACCTGTAGTGGCAACTGGCAGACTCAAAGGCATCAAGTGCCAGGAATGGGAGGTACCAGATCTGGTATACCCTTGGCTTACCCTTGGCTTATTGGTGTGGCAGAGAAAAACACATACTCAACAAACCCTATTTCCTTTTCCTCCTGGGAACATGCCTACATGACAATTCCATCTACCCTTTCAGATAGGTGAAGCCATGTGTCTTCTACCCAATAGAGTGTAAGCAGAAGTGATGTGTGCCAGGCCTGGCCCATAAAAAGCTCTGGCAGAATCCTCCTTGCTCAATTCCCCCACCCTCCTGACAAATGGAGAAGCCTCCATTGACTTAGAGCAGCAGTTCTCAATTCAACCAGGGGCCATTTTGTCCCTTCCCCCAGGGGCATTTGGCAATGTCTAGAGACATTTTGCATTGACACAACTAGAAGCATGTCCTACTGGAATCTAGTGGGTGGAGGCCAGGGATGTGGCTAAACATCCTACAGTGCACAGGACAGCTCCCACAACAAAGAATCATCCAGCCCCCAAATGTCAACAGCACTGCTAGTGAGAACACTGAACCAGTGGGGGTAGAGCCACCGGGTGGGTTCTTGAATGACTGCCTGGAGCAGAGTGCCACACCCGCATGTGTGCACACACACACACACACCCATGCACATATATACATGCACACACATCACACGTAGACACATACACACACACATGCACACACACTGACCTGTATGAGCTAGGAATTTCAATAAGAAATAAACTTTCATTGTGTTAAGTCGCTGAGATTCAGGGATAATAGCAGCTAGCATTATTTACTTTAGCAAATACAATCACCAGGGGTTAATCTTTCCATGGAGGACAAGCATGCCCTTAGCAACAGCTGCCTCACTTGGCAGGTACAGGGAAGGCTTCTGGAATAAAGAAGTGAAGGGCAATGGAGGCCTGGCCCTGTCCTTCAGTCACGAGGCCCACAAGGCAATGGGGGTAAAAAGGCCTAGGGTACAGGGGGAGTTTCAGAGCTCTTTCACTCTTCATGACCGGAGGCGGCACCTTTGGGAAGAAACTTAGCAACTCAGCCCAAGAACACAATCCGAACCCCACACCTACCCAGGAGAAACACAACAACAGCCAGAGGCAGCATCAGCACTAACCCCCGTCTTCTTCCTCTCTCCCTCACCCTTTTTTTGTCTGACAGGGACTTGCTGATAATAATCAACAAGGTCCTTTTAGTGTATGGGCCGGTCTTGCTGTGACTAATAAGATGATTGGTTGTATATATCCTCTTTATGGTTGTTCATTATATCACCCTAACATAAAGTAATTTAATTTCAGTGGGATAATTAGGGTATTTCTAATCTAACTGATAGTCTGAATGAAATGAGATTCTCAGAGGGAGATTTGTGTATCAGGAGACTGGTGACCTCCGGCCCCAATTTTCACACAATGTATTAATCTGACAGCCCGACTTCCCAGGCACACTGCATCCATATATTTCTGAGCCTGTGGGTTACAGAGCACAACCACAAATGAGATTACTTTATTTATAATGAGATTTCCTTGGGCTCAAGGAGACAGATCATAATATTTTAACTGAGGCCTTCAGACTGACAGAGCATCCATACGTTAACTCAAGCCCTGAGACGCAAATGTATCAAAGAGGGAGTGAGGCCCTGTCTAGGGTCTCAAAGACGAAGCTCAGCAGGAGAAACAAAAATGGAACCCTGTGAGATGTATGCCTGACTGGGACGGGTCAGGGCCACCCCCACAGGGGTGAGGGCCACTGGAAGACCCCTGACTGTCACCTGTTCCTTTGAGGAGGCTGCAGAAAGAATCTGCTCAGTATGTCTGAAATGGGGGGACAAAGAAAGATACTGCTGGAAAGAAAAGGTAGTGAAGGACCAGGCGCAGTGGCTCATGCCTGTAATCCCAGCACTTTGGGAGACTGAGTGGGGGGTGGATCACCTGGGTTCAGGAGTTCAAGACCAGCCTGGCCAACATGGTGAAACCCTGTCTCTACTAAAAGTACAAAAATTAGCCGGGACCAGTGGCAGGCGCCTGTAATCCCAGCTACTTGGGAGGCTGAGGCAGGAGAATCGCTTGAGCCCAAGAGGCGGAGGTTGCAATGAGCCAAGTTGGTGCCACTGCACTCCAGCCTGGGCGACAGAGCGAGACTCTGTCTCAAAAAGCAAAAAAAAGCAGTTGAGGCTGGCGGGGGTCAGGCCAGCACTCTGAGCAAGCGGGGTGCAGGAGACCTACTGCCTGTCTCCACCCCCCCAGAACATCCCCCTAGGAGCAGACCCAGCTCACCTCTGTCCTCCAGGCAGGCTCCAAACCTTTCAATTAGAGCCACTCTTTTACGTTAGTCATTGGAGGCAGGATGCTGGTTCTTAGGAAAATCTGCTACTGAAAACACTCCTCATTCATTCACTGAGTGCCCACATGTGCCAGGCGCTGCTCGGGCCCAAAACGGACAAAGCCTAGTTCCAGGCTCCTTCCATTCTTCTGGTTTTATCGCTCAAAACTTCTTGGTAAATTTCTTTTAGAGTTTAATGTGAGGTGGGAAAAAAAGTCTGTTTCTCTGGAAGAAAAACTGTTTTCTTTCATGAGATAATGAGAATTATGCAGCTCATCTCATCTTGTTCCCCTTGTTTTCTTGGGTGCTTGGAAGCTCAGAGATGAATGTCAGGCAGTAGCAGCATTAGGTTAGGATTTGGGACCTATTTTCCTTCTTATTTTCTATTTCCTTATTTTTTCAAATAAAGGAGAAAAGCTTTATTTAAATGCATCATTTAACAAAACACTTCAAGTTCAATTTGAAAATAATATATTTTATTTTTTAAATAAGCCAAAATAGAAGCATTGACTTACAAAAAGCCACTGTTAAAATTCCTTTAGTGGCTTATGCCTGTAATCCCAACATTTTGGGAGGCTGAAGCAGGAGGACTGCTTGAGGAGTTTGAGACCAGCCTGGGCAACATAGCGAAACCCTGTCTCTAAAAAAAATTTTTTTTTTTGAGATGGAGTTTTGCTCTTGTTGCCCAGGCTGGAGTGCAAAGGCGCGATCTCACTCACTGCAACCTCCGCCTCCCAGGTTCAAGCGATTCTCCTGCCTCAGCCTCCCAAGTTAGCTGGGATTACAGGCACCTGCCACAACACCTGGCTAATTTTGTATGTTTAGTAGAGATGGGGTTTCTCCATGTTGGTCATGCTGGTCTCAAACTCCTGACCTCAGGTGATCCGCCTGCCTTGGCCTCCCAAAGTGCTGGGATTACAGGCATGAGCCATCGCACTCGGCCTTTTTTTTTTTTCTTTAAATTAGCCAAGCATGATAGTTTGCGCCTGTAGTCCCAGTTACTCAGGAGGCTGAGGTGGGAGGATCACATGAGCCCAGGAAGTGGGCGCTGCAGTGAGTTGAGATCGCACCATTACACGCCAGCCTGGGCAACAGAGCAAGAGACTGTCTCAAAAAAAAAAAAAAAAAGTCCTTAGTAAGTGTTTACTAGGTGCCTAATTAATAACTGCCCTCTGGTCGGCGTGTGGCACAGGTCCTTTCCTAAGCACTTCATGTCTCACAATAGCCCCCTGACGTAAGCACTAGTACTATCCCCACTTTAAAGATAAGGAAATGAGGCAACAGAAAAACTAAGTAGTTTGCCCAAGATGGCACATTCAGTAAGGAGTAGAACCAGGACTAAAGGGGTAGTCTGACACAAAGGCTGCCCTCTTAACCATTGCCCCTCAGCATATGCAACATACTGGGCTAGGCAGTAAAACATGTATGTGACATATACTTGATGCCTCCGCAGCTGCCAGCATCCTCTGAGCCCCACTTTACACTCCAGCCATTGGTGCAGTGACCAGCCTGCTCAGGTATGACCTGCCAGCACCTAGCCGTGGCAGTATGGAGAATCGTTGGCTTCCCCCCCTGGGGTGTCTCTCCCCGAACCTCATGGGAGCCTGGCAGAATCTGCTCAATGATTCTGACATGTTCACACGTTTGGAAAAGAGTGAGAGCTCACACCCACGAGCCAAGCCTTGGCCAATGGAAGATGGAGCTAGTAGATAAATGTTCCCCATTTCTGTCCTGTGAGCAGAGAATTCTCAGGCCGGTTCCGCACAGCTCCTCAGGGATCCTAGGGGGATTTAGCCCCTGGGGCCCACACTGTTCATTGGCTCAGGAGTGCTAGGTTGGTCCTCATCTGTCTCATTCACTTTTCTTGACCCCTCACTCTTTTTCCTTGAAATCAATTTCTAAAAAACAACCTTTATGCAAGATCTTAGCTCAGCTCTGCTTTTGAGGTAAATCAAGGCTAAGACACTACAGTTCCTTGTTTGAGGAGTTCAGATTAGGGTGACCTATCATTACAAGGGGAAAAATTCAGTAACAGTGCATAAGAATTTATGATTAAATAGCTAAAAGATCAACTCAAGCTATGAAAATACAAGAGTGCAGAGAAGAGAATGCAGAAATTATTGTAGGAAACTGAAACAATTTTTATTATTATTATTTTTTTTTAGACAGGGTCTCACTCTGTCACCCAGCCTGGAGTGCAGTGGCACAATCACGGCTTACTGCAACCTTGACCTCCTGGGCCCAGGTGATCCTCCCATGTCAGCCTCCTGAGTAGCTGGGACTACAGGTGCCTGCCACCACACCTGGCTAATTTTTGTATTTTTCGAAAACATGGGATTTCACCATGTTGCCCAGGCTGGTCTCAAACCCCGGGGCTCAAGCGATCCACCCACCTCAGCCTCCCAAAGTGCTAGGATTACAGGCATGAGCCACCGCACCAGCCTATAATAAAATTTTATTGGAGCATGGCCATGTTATTCATGTACATGTTGTCTATGGCTATTTTCCTATTACAGAAACAGAACTGAGTATGTGCAACACAGACCTATGTATGGCCCACAAAGCTTAAAATATTTACTGTCTGACTGTTTATGGAAAAAGTTTGTGGGCCAGGCACTGGGGCTTATGCCTGGGCCAGCACTTTTGGAGGCTGAGGCAGGATGATCACTTGAGGTCAGGAATTTGAGACCAGCCTGGCCAACATGGCGAAAGCCCGTCTTTACTAAAAATACAAAAAATTAGCCAAGTGTAGTGGCGCACACCTGTAATCCCAGCTACTCGGGAGGCTGAGGCACAAGAATCGCTTGAACCCAGGAGACAGAGGTTGCAGTGAGCCGAGATCATGCCACTGTGCTCCAACCTGGGCGACAGAGCAAGACTATGTCTAAAAAAAAAAGACAAACAAACAAAAAAACAAGTTTGTGGACTCCTGATATGGAAAATCCAGAGTCCTATGGAAAACAGGATATGGGCACAATCCTGTTTGAGGGGTGGTGGTTGGTATAATCAGACAAAGGTAGAAAGAGACTGCAGAAGAACAGGAGCAAGAATATTCCAGCTAGAGGCAATGGTTTAACCAAAGACAGAGAGGTGAGAAGCAGGTGGTCACAGGCAGTTTACTATTGCAGGAGACGAAGAAACTACAGTGGAAGTGATGGCACATGAGGCTCCAGGCAGAGGTTTCCTTAAGTTCTCTGATGCTGGGTTATTTCTCTCATTTTAGGATATTTCCTTCAATAGACAAAGATGCTGTAACAAAGAATATCCCCAGAGCCTGGTATGTACCTTTTACTGAAGGGAGTTTATGTGAAGTTTGTCCCATTTATGTTCTTCTGATGAGCAGTGGGAGCCTCTGCTCCTAAAGCCACCCTCTTTGCACCTGGGCATTCCTGACATGAAAGAGCCACCCCTTTGCCTGCCTGGGATATGCCAGCTCCTGTCTTCTGCTCCTGCTGCTGCTAAAACAGCCACAGCTGAGTTGTGGCCATAGCAGTGAGAGTCCACTGGGTGCTCTAATGAGGTCTCCCTAGTCGGCCTGACTTGTGGTTTCCGGGTCTGAGGATCCAGTAATGTGTGGCAAGAACAATCATGGAAGACTTGCTGCACAGCCCGGTAGACAACACTTCTTTATACCATTGGAAAAGCGTGTCCTGGGTGATCCAGCAAGGTCGAGAGCGAGTTACTTTGGTTCTTTCAAGAAACATTCACTCAGGCCAAAATATATGCCAGGCAAGGTAATATACTGATCAAGATACTATCCTCCCTCGAGGGGCTCACAGTCTACTGGGGGAGATCGACATGCAAATTAACCCACACCCCAGTGGGGGAAATGCTGCCCTATGACTCCTTGGGTCACGCGATGGGGTGAGGAAAGGAAGTGGCTCTGCCTGTGGGAGGGTCAGGGAAAGCACTGGGAGAGAAGATGCTCAACTAGCTTCCCCAGAAGGCCCTGGGGGCAGCGCAGTCCCAGCACGTGCAAAGCCGAGAAGCTGTGAATCACACGTCTCACCTGGGGAAATGCTCGGAATGATGGTTTGCTCACCTAAGCATGACCTAACTTCCACTACACATCTGTCTGATTTTCAAAGAACTGTAAGGCACTCAAATGCCGTAAGCTGGAACATATTTTAGGCTCTCGTGGGGCTCCAGGTTCATTGCCACAAACATCAGTTATTACTGCACTGATAAGTGAAGAAACAACAGTTAGCAGAGCTTTCTGGTTGACTGATTTCAGATAAGCCCACTTTTTCCTTTGCCCATATGTAGACAGAACCAATAAAATGGATCTAAACTCTACACAAGGCCAGGCTGCTTGATCCTGATGAAGGAGGTCGGCACCCACCCTCTGCAAGCTTTGGCTTCCTCTGGAGCTTTGGCTTCCTCTGGAGTCAGAGAGGTCATGCTGCTTCTCCAATGAGGGTATCTTGTTTTCTGTATGTGTATTGCTTTAGAGCATGATGCTGCAGAATTCAGTTATAAGGTGTTGCTTCCCTCTGGCACTCTCTAAAAACTTGTTGACTAGCTCCAAGAGGAGGGAAAAGGTAATCCAGTAGATGACATAGGAATCGTATCAGTTCTATAATGGGCTGGGTGCAGTGGTTCAGGCCTCTATTTCCAGCACTTTGGGAGGCCAAGGCAGGAGGATCACTTGAGGCCAGGAGTTCAACATCAGCCTGGGCAACATAAAAATTTTTTTAAATTTAGCAGGACATGGTGGCTTGCACCTGTAGTCCTCACTACTCAGGAGGCTGAGGTGGGAGGATCGCTTGAGCCCAGGAGTTTGAGGTTACAGTGGGCTGTAATTGTGCCACTGCACTCCAGCCTGGACAACACTGTAAGACCCTGTCTCTAAAGAAAAAAAATTATATTAATATAATGGCCATCATTCTTTGATTGTCAGGCACCGTGTTAAGAGATTATTATAAACATTATTCCAGCTAGACCTCACAAGGAAAGACTCATTCATTCCTTTAAACAAATGAGGAAACTGAGGCAGAGAAAGGCTAAATACCTTGGTTCACACTAGTTATACTAGTTATAGAGCAGGGACCAGACACATTTCTCTGGTTTCAGCCCAAGCTCTTTAACAGCTAAGTGGTGCTGCTTCCTACAGGTAAAAAAAAAAAAAAAAAAAAGCTGAGTTGCTTTTACTTATTTAAAAGCAGACTTGCTCTTTGCTGCCATGTGAAATTAAAATATAGATCTAATCCTTGCTTTTCATTTGAAAAGAATTTTTTAAGGCAACTCTTAATTAAATCAATAACAGGCTACTTGCCCTCCTTCCAAAATGCCAGGTTGGGCTGGTGGGGTAAAGAGAGACCTAAAATAAGCCTGTCCTGAGTCACCCTAGAATGGCTGTAGGTAGTGGCAGACCTGGAAAGTCTAGTAAGAGCCACTAGTTAATCACGTAAGACAAATCCGTGTTCCTTCTTCCAGTGACTGAAGGACAGCGGGCAGGGATGCTATGAGGAGCTGCTGCAGAGAAAGGGACAGGACACCAGGCAGCCTCCCTCCACAGGAAGGTCATCTGCCTGCTTGCTCTTAGCTCCAGTCCTACCCTTCCATGATCTGCTTTTATTTTAGGGGCACTAGGATCCCCCCAAGCCCCCTTGCTAGCTAGCTTCTGATTTGGTCCTAGCAGTGGGAGGCACTGGGGACGTTTGGAAGGCAAGAAGAGGGGAAGGAAGGACTCTTCCTTATTCCAGCTCTGTCAGAAATCCTCCAGCAGCAGTCAGCTATGGGCGCCAGCTTCCCCGGCAGCTCATAACAGCCTCCTCCATCCCAGCCCCAGCACTTAGCATCCCCTCCTCATTCCCAGCACTGACTCAGCACAGCCCTTCCTCCAGGGTCCCAGCACCCACCCAGGATCCCATTCTCTGAAGTTCTGGGCTCTGGTAATATTATGTTCTCTCTGTTGTTCCCCCAGCACTAAAAGTAAGGTTTTCTGCAGTTGCCAATCTCTGTATTATATCACTGTCTTTTTGTTTGCTCTTTGAGTTCTTCCAATAACTGTGTTGCCAAATCTCTGTATTCAACTCCTTCTGTTTGAAAGACCTAGAGAAGTTTCTGTTTTCTTGACTGGACCCCAGCTGACATGCTCCATGTGTATGTCCACAGCTGTTAGAAAAGATATTTCCAGGTCTTTCACTTCACTGACTCCTCCCTCACCATCCTGATTGTCCTGTTTGGGGCATACTCCCCTAGCTTTGGTCCTACCTAGTAATAAAGTCTACAGTTTACTGACCACTTATTATGTACTTTGCAAATATTATTACACTTAGTCATTATGCCTAACACAGGGAGCTATACAATATTTTAAAGAAATTAATTAAAAACCCTAAGGCTGGCCGGGCACGGTGGCTCACACCTGTAATCCCAACACTTTGGGAGGCTGAGGTGGGTGGATCACAAGGTCAAGAGATCGAGACCATCCTGGCCAACATGGTGAAACCCCGTCTCTACTAAAAATACAAAAATTAGCTGGGCAGGAGAACCGCTTGAACCCAGGAGGCGGAGGTTGCAGTGAGCCGGGATCGCGCCACTGCACTCCTACGGAGTGAGACTCTGTCTCAAAAAAAAAAAAAAACCCTAACACTGAGGTCACATGGCTATCAAAGAGAATGAGTCGACATAGGAACTGAGGCACCTCTGAAGTAGCCCAAGCACTTCATCTACTCTCCTGCCTCCTCTCTTATCTCTTTTGCAAAGGTCTGTTCTGGGCTCTTTGATCTGTGCTTTCCTACCTCTTTTTTTTTTTTCTGTCTCCTATTCCTTTCTCTCTACTACCTGAGTAAAATGTTTATCTTTTAAGAGGCCCCCTACTTCCTGCCCTCAAAGGGACTAAGTACTGACTACTTGGTACCTGAAGATCGGGATTCTTTTCTACTCCCTCAGACCTTGCTAGTAGTCTAGGCTTATCCCAGTAACCCAGCCATCTCCCATGGCCTAGCCTTTTCTCATTGGCTCAGTCCACTCCCCTTAGCCCTGCCCCCTCCTACTTGTAGATCCTTCTCCAAAAGTGGTCTAGCCTTCCACTATTTGCACGGCAGGGAGATCTGGTGCCAACTCTCCCCTGATGGGGGTGCAGGCCGTGAGAGGTAAAGCATGAGAGAATATGAAAAAGCTTAATAAACATCCTAAGGAAATCTGCTTCAATGGCTATTTAGGAAAGAACTGCAGTTACCGCATCAATGGCTGACATGCAGATACATACATACATACCAGTGAATATTCCAAAACAGTCTATCCTCCTTAGGAGTTTCAAGATTTCCCTGACAATATTTACGTATACTGTTGGCTCATTTGGTGAACTATTTTTGAATAAGTAATGCAAGGGTAAATATCAGTCCCTAACAAAGAGAACTTAAACATAATTTGTAAAACAAACTGATAATGCCAAGTTGCTGGCATCTAGATGCCCATTTTCATTGTTTCAGATTTGCCTATCGAGGCTAAGATGGAAATGGAGAAAACTAACACTGATTTCTTTTAAGGTAGAATAGTTAACAATGACTAAACTTGCACATTTTGTCAAGCACTGCGTTCAGAGCTTCGGGTGCCTTATCCCATTTAATCCTCATAACAATCCAGTGAGGTAGAGTCTAGAATTCTTACCATTTCCATGTTACAGATGAGGCAACTGAGTCTTAGACAGATTAAGAAACTTGTTCCCAGGCATTGCTGGAGAAAGCAGGTGTCACCTGACAGTTTATCTATGGGGGCTGCACCCTTCACCACCACACCACCTGTCTCCCCTCGCTGGCCAGTCCCCCGTTCCCTACTGGCACAGCTTTCTTTTGGCAGTTTGGCCCTGAATACACTTCAGGATAAGTTCCTTCGTTGTGATAAGCAGGGCCCACGATCTCTGACAGCTGTTCCCCGCTCTTCATCATCATCTGAAACAATCAGTAAGCATTAGAGAGTACTTTTCCCTTTACAAAGGTGATAATTAGATAACAAGCTGAGATTAAAGTAATTACAGTTAGACAGCTGGCGAGGCAGCACAGTCATGTTGAAATATTGTTGGTACTTCAGCATCTGGTTCTAATAACAGCATAGGCTAAAGGATTTTACATTAATTACAGAACATAATTTAATATAAACATATTTAATTACAATTGATGAGCGATAAACTGTTCAAGAATGACTTAACCCCTTCCGCATGTCAAAGTGATGGGAACTTGGGGCAGGCTGTGGCCAGTTCCACCGTCTTTCTCCCCTCCCTGCCACGTCCTCCACATCCCCCTGGCACCCCCTCCTGGACAAACCCCCCTCCCCAAAAAGGAATGTTCTAGGAAATGATGTGTGGCTCATTGATTACCCCATGGGTATTTGGCCACCCTTAGAATGCCAGGAGAAAAGGAGGCTACAGGGCACCACAGTCTGTGATGCATCACTGTGGCCCGACCCTCCTCTTCCTCTCATTGCCCGAAATGAGGCAATTCGCCGCTCCTCACCTGCTCTTCCCACACTCTCACACCTTCAAGGGGTGCTAGGTTTGCTTCCAACAGTCCACGAACAACCTATTAAACAGTCTGCAGATCTCATAGAACAAGTTTAAAGGTAAATCCATTTTCTTTATGAAATCATGACTACAAAGTCCCTGGGCACAACAGTCAGGGTATTTTCACAATTTAAGAGCCAGTGTGTAACACCTGGAGATTTCTACCTGTGACAGAGCATTATTCCATCAGGAATTCTTCCTTACCTGCCGCCTAGCCCCATCTCTACCCGCAAAACTGGCAGAAGCTGACCCTGGGTGAAGCAGTTTATAACACGGGATCGCACAGACATGCTCTCCACTGAATAAAGGCCTCAACCACCATTAACTGCACATTGTCTTTCCACAGGCCCCTTTGTGAATGGGAGACATTTGACAGCCACAAAAGCCAAACAGCACTAGCTCTCACTCGTATTGAGGTAACCCAGGAGTCAACCCAAAGAAGCTACAAGGCTGGTCCTTCCTAAGAGAGAGTGAGTAGCCCTGAGTGAGTTAGAAAATTCACTGTCAAGTTGCCCTATGTGACAAATGATGGGAAATTATAAATAACCTCAAATGCTGTTTTTACCTCCTGCTGTGGATTTCAAAGTAGAAAGCATACATTGTCCTAAAAGCTAAACTGAGTGCTGAAAAAGATAGTTTATTATTCACAAGTAAGCAAGTGCAAACTACTTCTACAGAAATTACGGGCAGGTGCACGTAAAGTAAAATTAGTGTGAAGATTCAGGACAAGAGAGAAACAGCCACTTTCAAAGTGAAAGTGGTTTTATACCTATCCTTTAGGAAAAAAAAAGAGTTTAGTTGCTTAACATAGCAAATCTGCAATCTGAGTAAGAATTATAAAGTACTTTTTGTAGATGAAGTGCTCCTGTGGAAGGGAGGAAGAAACAAGAAGGGAAAATAATCAATAATGCATTTGTGTTTTTTTTTTGAGATAGAGTTTCACTCCTGTCACCCAGGCTGGAGTGCAGTGGCACGATCTCAGCTCACTGCAACCTCCACCTCCTGGGTTAAAGCAATTCTCCTGCCTCAGCCTCTGGAGTAGCTGGGATTACAGGAGCCCTCGACCACACCTGGCTTTTAAAAGTTACCACTCTGTCATCCAAATAAAAAACTCTTGTGTGTCAAAGGACACGAGCAAGAAAGTGAACACAAAATGGGAGAAAATATTTATAAATCATATATACGATAAGGGCCTAGTATCCAGAATATACAAAGAACTCTTACAACCCAACAATTAAAAAAAAACAATTTAAAAATAGGCAAAGGATTTGAACAGGCATTTTTCCAAAGAAGATATACCAAAGTCCAATAAGCACATGGAAAGATGCTCACCATCATTAGTCATCAGGGAAATATTACTTCACAAACACCAGAATGGCTATTATCAAAAAGATGATAACAAGTGTTGGTGAGGATATGGAGAAACTGGGACCCTCAGCCATTGCTGGTGGGAATATAAAAGGCACAGTGATATGGTTTGGCTGTGTCCCCACCCAAATCTCATCTTGAATTGCAGCTCCCATAATTCCCATGTGTTGTGGGAGGGACCAGGTGGGAGATATTTGAATCATGGGGACTGTTTCCCCCATACTGTTCTCGTAGTAGTGAGTAAGTCTCACAAGATCTGATGGTTTTATAAGGGGAAACCCTTTTTGCCTGATTTTCATTTTATCTTGCCGCTGCCATGTAAGAAATGCCTTTCACCTTCCACTATGATTGTGAGGCCTCCCCAGCCATGTGGAACTGCACCCATTAAACCTATTTTTCTTTTTTTTTCTTTTTTTTTTTTTTTTTTGAGACGGAGTCTCGCTCTGTCGCCCAGGCTGGAGTGCAGTGGCGGGATCTCGGCTCACCGCAAGCTCCGCCTCCCGGGTTCACGCCATTCTCCTGCCTCAGCCTCCCAAGTAGCTGGGACTACAGGCGCCCGCCACTACGCCCGGCTAATTTTTTGTATTTTTAGTAGAGACGGGGTTTCACCGTTTTAGCCGGGATGGTCTCGATCTCCTGACCTCGTGATCCGCCCGCCTCGGCCTCCCAAAGTGCTATTTTTCTTTATAAATTACCCAGTCTCAGTTATGTCTGTATCAGCAGTACAAAAACAGACTAATACACACAGCTACGGTAGAAAACAGTCCGACAATTCTTCAGAAAGTTCAACAAAGAGTTTAACGTATGACCCAGTAATTCTACCTTCATACCCAAAATTGAAAACATGTCCAGATACAAACTTGTACATGAAATCTTCACAGCAGCATTACTCAGAATAGCCCAAAAGTGAAACAACCCAAATGCCCATCAACTTATGAATGAATAGGCAAAATGTGGCATATTCATACAATGGAATATTATTCAGTCGTATAAAAGAATAAGGTACCAATACATGCTACAACATGGGTGAACCCTGAAAACTTCATGCCAAGTATAATAAGCCAGATACAAAACACTAAATATTATTCCATTTACATGAAATGTCCAGAATCGGCAAATCCAAAGATATAGAAATTAGATTAGTGATTGCCAGGGGATGGGAGGAGAGGGGAATTGAGAGTGGCTGCTAATAGATACAGGTTTTTTTTTGTTGGGGGGGAGGGTAGCGATAGAAATGTTTTGGCATTAGATTGTGGCGATAGTTGTATAGCATTGTGAATATACTAAAAACCACTGAACTGTATACTTTAAAATAGTGAAAATGCTGGATTTTATGCTATATAAATTCTACCTCAAATAAAAACTATCAGTCTGGTTAACTAGAGCTGATTCCCACCAGGGAAACCTGGGAGCCTGTGTAAGGTATGCACCTTAGAATTATCTCCCCCAAGAGGGAAGGAAGGTGGGGTATTTATACACCAGCTCTCATCAGTCAGTAGTCGAAAACTGCTTCTAGGGGCATTCATTCCTCGGAACTTCTGGTCTGCCCATAAAAGGAGCTCTGGTAGCCAGAGAAAGTCCTTAGGCAAAGAAATGTTGCTAATGGCAGTTGACAGACAGGCCAGCATGCCCCCAAAAGAGTACAGGCAAAAAGGCAAAATAGGTTCCTTGCACTGACAGTCTGTGCTACTCTCTCGTTGGGATAAAATAAGAAAGCCCATGTAAAATGCATCAGTGCTAGACACAGAGAAAGCTCTCAATAAATGTGAGTTATTTTTACAGAAGACTCTATAAGGTTAAACAATTTGATCAAAACTTCCCAGCTAAGGCAGGGTAGAGCTAGGGTTTACACAATCTCTATATGACACAATCTTTCATATACAGAATTATATTGACCAAATATACACTAACCAGCCTTGCAAACATACCTATCAAATGGCAATCATGTCATCATGGCATCCAGAGGATATAATAAACATCTTTATATCTTTGCTCTCTCTCTCCTCCCCCTTGTGTGCCCTCTGTGGCGGAAGCAGCTGCTTTTCCCACAAAAAGGCCTCGAGGGTTGATGTTAATGTCTGCTCAAGTTGCACAGGGGCTGAACATTATGTGGTCTATTGTGTAGGTGCTTATTTGAGATTCAAAGCCTACACATTTGCTGACAATTTAGTGCAAAGGACCAAGACATATGAACACCTGAGACTGCAGGAGCAACAGGGCGGCGCGTTTTTCACTCACGTGTCAGTTTGCTGTTCTCCTCTGGAAGGGTCTGATATTCACATGGCTCAACAAAAGAGGTGCACTAGCAGAGGAAAACTGGGGGAACCTCTTCCCGGAATTCCCTACATGAACTCCCAACCAAGGGCATGTCAGAGAGTCAAAGAGAGGGGCTGGAGCTGCAGAACTTGAGCGACCTGATGAGGTAGAGGCTGATAATCGTGTCGAAGTAGCTGTAGTACACGGCGTTGTTGACGTGGCCATACTGGTCATTGTCCTGCCACCTTGTCTGGATGGGCAAGAAGTACCCATAGGCCTCGTGGTGCCAATGGTAGGCCTCAACTGTCTGGTCCTTTGATGATGTAACCAAGGAATGGGCATTCTTAGGAAGGAGCTTTGAATCCCAATAGGTCATAGTGATTGCAGCTTTGGAAAATACCTTCAAGAAAAAAAGCAACAATGGATAAGAATGTTCTTCTGAAATCTTGATTTTAGTCTAACAAAAGTAACTGCATTAAATGTTGGCTACTGGCTTCAAAAGTAAATTCTTTTTTTCTAGAAAGTAAATCTTCCCTTATAATCTAAGACCTTGGTCATAAACTTACTTTCTAAAATGACTCTTTCCTAAAAAGGTGTTGGTACACACTGCCAGAAACAGGGGAAGTCTTTGTTTGAATCTGACTAGTGGGGAATAAAGTATGTTTGTATGGAGGTCTTTTATTCCACAAAGTATTTTACTTTTTATTATTTATTTTTATTTATTTATTTATTTGAAACAGGGTCTCACTCTCGCCCAGGCTGTAGTGCAGTGGTGCGATCCCGGCTCACTGCAGCTTTCCAGGCTCAGGTGATCCACCCGCCTCAACCTCCCAAGTAGCTGAGAATACAGGCTTATGCCACCGCACCTGGCCCATCAAGTATTTTCAAGGTGAGTACTGTTTCTGATGAAATCTGTAAAACTACTAAGAGTATAAAAATAGACTCAGGCCACCAGTATAAAATATAATGTTTGCCAGTAAACATCAATGGGGCCTATCAACTATATGTTTTGTGTGTGTGTGTGTGTGTGTGTGTGTGTGTATTAATTTTTTTTTAGAAAAAAGTCATTCCCTATGGAAAAGTTTTGTGTTTTTTGTTTGTTTGTTTTTTTGAGACAGAGTTTCGTTCTTGTTGCCCAAGCTGGAGTGCAGTGGCGCGATCTCGGCTCACCACAACCTCCGCCTCCCAGGTTCAAGCAATTCTCCTGCCTCATCCTCCTGAGCAGCTGGGACTACAGGCATGCACCACCATGCCCAGCTAGTTTTGTATTTTTAGTAGAGATGGGGTTTCTCCACGTTGGTGAGGCTGGTCTTGAACACCCGAACTCAGGTGATCCGCCCTCCTCGGCCTCCCAAAGTGCTGGGATTACAGGTGTGAGCCAGCGTGCCCGGCCTAGAAAAGTTTTTAAATATGCTTAAACATAAGGAAGAAAATCCAACAACAATACAATACCCATTATTAACACTTTCATGTGCATTGCTCTAGTCTGTATATACATTTTTAAATGGGGTCATACTGTATGTGTTGTTTTATAATCTCTTTACTTAACAATGGATCACTAATATATTGAAATATTCTTCTACATCATTTGCAACATTGAATTTTATTATATTCCATGGCATTGAAGAGCCACAAGTTATTAAGTCCCCAATTGTTGCATATTTAAGGTTTTTATTCTGATTTTGGTCATGGGATGAAAATCTTTTTAAATGTATCTTCACATATATTCACCATTATTTTCTTAGGATAAATTCCTAGCAGCAGAATTGCTGAGTCAACGGGCAAGTGAATTGTTACGGCTTTTGATATAAATGAATGCCCTCCAGAAAGGCAGTACCAATGTATCCCCTCCCCACCAATGTACAAGCAAGCCAATTTCCTTGTCAATTTTAAAATGCTTTGTCAATTTGACTGTGTTCTCTCATTTCCATAGAAATTTAATAAAATGTGCTAAGTGAAAAGATGACTGACACTACTAGCTATGATGGAATAACTAGTATCAGAACAACCTCTTTGTTTGAGAACAACTCTCAAAGCTGGATAAAATGTAAAAGAAGTGCTGTTGGAAGGTATCAGGAAATAATCAAGGCAGTAGGACTTCACAGGCTGCAGCCCTGGGGACAGTGACACCCAGAGGTGAGCTTTGCAATTGCCTCTGCTCTGTCTCCTTGGGGTATTTGTCAATTCATCGTGTAAGGAATAAAGGCTGAAGAGACAGCAGAAACTTAGAGCTTGTGGTGGGTCTTGCTGTGCTGGGAGAGAAGAAAAAATTGAATGGCCAACATCCTGGAGAAGAGTGAGCTGCAGACAAGTGAGCCCAATAATGCAACTTCCCCTCAAGGTATCTGCTGACTCCTCAGCTGCACCTGCTCAGAATGGGACAGAGAAACCGACAGAAAGCAACTGCAACAAGGCAAAAAACCTAAGAAGAAAATAGGAGTCTTAGAGTGCTGAGGATGATTAAAAAAAAAAAAAAAAGAAAAATTCGCTTTCAGTGCTGCAGAGGAGGAATGCCAAAACCTCAGACTTTCAGCTGGGACCTGAGAAGCACTACTCCTTTAGAGTGAAGACAGACCTGACATTGACCAGCCTGAGCAAGGTTATCTATCCATATCACCTGTCAGCCAAATTATCTCCAGAGGAAAATAACATCTTTACAGCCTCTGCGACATTTTATTAGAAAGTCTGGCATTCAATTGAAAACTACAAAGTCAGGCCGGGCACGGTGACTCACACCTGTGGATCCCAGGGCTTTGCAAGGCCAAGGCAGGAGGATTGCTTGAAGTCAAGAATTTAAGACCAGTCTAAGCACCATAGCAAGAACCTGTCTCTACAAAAAAAAAAAAATTATTTTAATTAGCCAGGCATGGTGGTATGTGCATGTAGTCCTAGCTACTCAGGAGGCTGTGGCAGGAGGATCGCTTAAGCCCAGGAGTTTGAGGCTGCAGTGAGCTGTGACTGTACCACTGCACTCCAGCCTAGGCAATAGAACAAGGCCTTGTCTCTAAAAACAACAACAACAAAAACACTAAGACTTACCAGGAAATTGGTACAAATGACGAAAACCCAAAAGAATTTTTTAAAAAGACAATAAAAATAGTCCCAAACACTCAGACTTCAAAATAACAATGATCAAAATGCATCTCAGATAAAGGCCTGATATCCATTCTGGATACATAAAGAACTCTAAAACAGGGAGGAAAAGACCAAAATTCCAGTTGAAAAATAAAAGTCACAAACACACAACTCACAAAGGTTTTACCATTCTCTTTAAACATATGAAAAGATGGACAACTTCACTCACAGTAAGAGAAATGCAAATTATAACTATGCTGAGATACCATTTCTCAATTAATAGATTGAGTAAAAATTATAAAGCCTGGCCAGGCGCAGTGGCTCACACCTGTAATCTCGGCCTTTTAGGAGACTGAGACGGGTGGATCACTTGAAGACCTTGTCTCTACAAGAGATACAAAATATTTAGCCACATATGGTGCCTGAGGTCCCAGCTACGAGGGAGGCTGACATGAAAGGATTGCCTAAGCCCAGGAGGTAGAGGCTGCAGTGAGCCATGATCACACTACTGCACTCCAGCCTGGAACACAGAGTGAAATCTTATCTCAAAAAAAAAAAAAAAAGAGAGAGATACTCATATCATGCATTGTTGGTAGGAATGGAATGTCCCCACCATTAAGGGGGAAAATGGAAATCAGATAATATCTAACAAAACCACAAGTGAGTTTACCCCCTGACTCACATCTAAGAATTTACCTTGAAGATATACCTGCAGCAATACAAGAATACCTATGGACAAGGTATATGCCTCTTTCTGATGAAAAAATATTGGGAACAAACATACATAGGAGATTGGTTGAATAGACTATGTTCCACTCACACAATGGAGGACTAAGCAGCTATAAATAAAAACTTAAAAAGAGCATATATAGTATGCTATTTTTTGTAAGAAAGAAAAGAAGATAATATAAATGTATTTATTTATATTTACAAAAAGAAAATCAGGAAGATTAAACATGAAACTAATGAGGGTATGTTAACAAAATGGATGTGATGAAGAAGGGAGAGTGACACTCCTCTGAATGTACGTTTTTGTGTGATTTGGGGTTTTGGAACCACGTTAATGTTTTATGTACACAAAATGATGATGATGATGATGATGTGATGATGATGATGATGTTAAATTAATAACAATGGGGAGGGAGAAACCTAAAATGGAACATAAAGAGATATATAACTGTTTTCAAATGAATACCATAGTCACACTGAAGGGAAGAAAATAACTATTGAAAACTATATCCCCTTAGCCTAAAGTCAAAAAGATTTGTTAACAAATATTGAACACAGGTTAATAGATAGGTGGGGGTTTTTTAATAGTGGCAGGATTAGCAATTCTAAATCTGTTTTCTTATATGATCTAAATCTGAATCTAAGTCTGGGCAAACAAGTAAATACAATGAGGATAGTGTGAGCCAAGTTTCTCACCTGGAGAAGGTACTCACAAGTATAGAAAGTAGAAAGACTGAAATGAACCTTCTGGTGTTAGATTGGATTTGGTAATTTCAATATGAACTCATGGATTAAAGAGAGATAGAGAGAGACAGAGAGGTTTCCTAGCCTTGTTGAGCCTAGACACAATGGCACTCCAGTAGCAAAACAAGCACACTTAATGACCAGATTTTAATTTTTAAATACCATTCTTCACAAAAAGGAATCAGGACTTCTTGAAGAAATGACTGGCTCCAGTGTTGGGGCAGATAAAGTAAAAGATGATCCTGGAACATCATGTCATGCCAGAAAGTAAAGAAATGCTCAAACAACAATGGGGTATGCCAAACTTTCACAAGAGCCCACTAAATGTAGGCTCCCAATGGCTGCATCTGGAACATTTGAACATCAAACTTAAGAATGAGATCAGTGGATTATAACCCTCTGAATTAAATAAGAATTCCTATGTCTTACTAAAATTAATAAATAGGATAAAAGAAAAGTTACTATTTACATCACTATGCCAAGTAATAAATGTAGAAGGGATCATGGAGTTAGAAAATCTTCATTTTGCAAACATCAGAGTAATAATTGATTCAGTCAGGAATTATCAATGGATGCTAAAATATAGTGGGTAAAAGTTTTGTGAGAAACGCAGTACTTAAACTGTCTCAAAGTATCTCTCCACAAATTATTTACTCATTACAAATGAATAATAGTAACTTTATGGCAGAGCACACTGGCAGGTACTTCCTTACCCAAGTTGTCAAGGTTAATATCACCAATAACTTATCCTATGAATATCATGTGCCTCCCAATATGAGGACACTACTTCTGTGTTATTCCTGCCAAAAATGCATTATCTGAATCTAACTATGATGAAAAAAATCAGACAAATGAAAACTGAGGAACATTCTGCATCCTAACTGTCCCGTACTCTTCAAAAACACCAAGATCATGAAAGACAAATAAAGACTGAAGAACTGTCCCAACTAAGAGTGACTAAACAGATATGACAACTAAATGCAATGCATAATCCTGGACTACATACTGGACATACTGGATAGATGAGGGATAAGGGAGATTATTGGAATAGCTGATAAAATTTGAATTTAGAATATAGATCAGATGATAGTATTATATTAAGGGAAATCAGAATATTTTTTCCCTAAATATGAAGGATCATTGAGCTGAAGACAATTAAGATGCAGGTGAGCTCTTTGCCTTCTCTCTGTTTGGCAGGACAGAGATAAACAAAGACAAAAGGTCTTCTACTCTTCTCCCCCTCCTCACCCCTATCCCACCCAAAGACTGAACATAAATTCTCCTTTAATGCAGGTAACACTTACCAGGTCAGAGATGGTGGCAGGAGAATCTGGGAGCAAACTTTACTCCTTCCCACAGGTTTTCTGCCTTTGAAAGCCTGGGACTGCTTTCCCCTTTTGTCTTGTCACCTCTCTAAAATTTATCGCTGTCTGTTGAAGATCTGATATAAGTCAGGACTCTAAGCCACTACTTTTGAGTTACTTTTCTCCCACACAGCGTGCACTGCATGGGTTAATTTACTTGTTGATTTTTCTTTTGTTAATCTTTTGTTACAAGAGTTTGCCCCAACTATGAACTTATGAGGATGGGGAAAAAATTGTATATACTTCCCTTCAATATCAATACTAAAATTCCTAATTTTGATAGTTGTGCTGTGGTTATAATGAGAGAAATGTATTGTTTTTCATAAATGAAAACTGAAGAATTTAGGAATAAAGAGGCATGATATCTACAACCTCCTGTCAAATGGTTCAGAAAGAAATAATGGAGAGAGGAATACCTGTGCATGGAGGGGGGGAAATTGAGCAAATGAGGAAAAACATTAAAAATTGGTGAATCTAAGTAGAAGATAGACAGTAATTGTTTCTACCATTCCTACAAGTTTTCTTAACCTTGAAATTACAAAAATATTAAAAGTTACCCCCAAAAGCTGCCATTAATGTGTTTAAGAAAACATAAACATTTGATAATTTTGCCAGAGCACTGGAATCTATGAAATACAATCATTATAGTAGATTAAAAGATAGTTTCAGAGTAGATCAGTCACAGTAGAAGACAGAATTAACTAGAAGTCTGTCTAAATATTCATAGTGAGGCACAGAGAGATTAAAAATTTTAAAATACAAAATAAAGCATAAGACACATACAGGAAACCACTTTAGAAAATACAACATAATTGGTATAATTAAATTTCTGGATAGGCAGAAGAGAAAAAATAGGTAAGAAACAATGTTTGAAGCGATATTGGCAGAGAATTTCCCAAAACTTGACATGAAAATTCTTCCCAAGATATAAAACCACAGATTTAAGAATCATTATGAACCCAAGCTGGACAAACTAAAGAAAACCAAACATGGCCAGGCACAGTGGCTCATGTCTGAAATCCCAGAACTTTGGGAGGCCAAGGCAGGAAGATCACCTGAGGCCAGGAGTTTGAGACCAGCCTGTGAAACATAGTGAGAGCCCATCTCTGTAAAAAAAAAAAAAAAATTAGCCAGGAGTGCTGGCACATGCCTGTAGTTCCAGCTACTCAGGAGGCTGAGGTGAGAGGACCGCTTGAGTCCAGGAGGTTTGAGGCAGCAATGAGCTATGATCACACCACTACACTCCAGCCTGAGTGACAGAGCGAGACCGTCACCCAGAAACAAAAGAAAGAAAAAGCCAAACATAACAAAACTGCTAAAAACCAAAGACAAAAAAAAAAATCTTGAATTAAGCAAAGTAAAAAGAAAAGACCTTCAAAGCAATAACAAGAATCTGACTTATTCCATGGAAACAACAGAAGACAGAAGACCACAGAATGACATCTTTAAAGTGCTTAAATACTTGCAAAGCTAGAATTCTACATGCAGAGAAAAATATCCTTCAAAAATTAAAGCAAAGTGGTTATTTTCAGATGAATGAAAAACCTGAAAAAATGAATTCATCTCAAGCAGAACTACACTAAAGGAAATGCCGAAGGGAGCTCTTTAGGCAGAAGGAAAATGATCCTTAACGAAAGAATAGTAATGCAGAAAAGAATGAAGAGCAATGGAAAAGTAGGCAAGTGGGTAAATTTAAATTAATACTGACAGTTGAAAGCAATAATGATAATATCTTACGGGGTTTAAAATACAGACAGAATTAAAATGTCCCTCAAGAGTAGCAGGAAAAACAGGACGGTAAATTCAGTTACAGTGTTGTAAGGTCCTTGCATTTTTCAGCAAGTAATAACAACCTTAATTTAAGGTTGACTAAGACAAATCAAGGATGCATGTTGTAACCTCTAGGATAGTCACCAAAATAATGTAGAAAGAACATATAATTAACAGAGGGAGAACAAAGTAATAAAAAAAATTTTCAATCCCAAAGAAGGCAATATATGAGGTGAATGGAGCAAAAACATGACACAAACATAAAACAAAGTGTAAGTAAGAGAATTTGACTAAAAATAGCAATAATTCCATCATTATCAAATATTCCAAATAAAGGGCAAAGATTGTCAGAAAGGAATTTTTTTAAACCCAACTATGTGCCACTTATAAGAGACCACAGCTTATTAAATATAAGGATGCAGAAAAGTCGGGAGTAAAAGGGTAGACACCATACAAATGTTAGCAAGAAAAAAAGCTGGTATAGATATACTAATGGAAGACAAAATAGATGTTAAGGCAAAAAATATTACTACATCTAAAAGAGAGATGTTGATCAAGATAAATGATCAATTCAACATGAAGTTCTTATAACATAGCAGAAAATACATATGAAACAAAAACTAACAAAAATAAAAGGTGTAATAGATGAATTCCCGGTCACAGTGGGCAGCTTTAACACACCTCTCTCAGCTGAAAGAACATGCAGAAAATAAAATATAGAAAATTAGAACAATATAACACAACATCCAACAGTTGTGGAATATGCATTATTTTCCATCACATTTAGAACAGTTACCAAAATAAAATACATATTGGGCCAAAAGCAAGTCTAAACAAATTTCAAAGAATTAAAATCAAACACAGTATGTTCCCACAGTGGAATTAATCTAAAAACCAACAGCAAAAAAGAATTTAATCCCCAAATGCCTGAAAATCAATCAATATAGCCATGCTATTTGTCCCCTCCAAATTTCACATTGAAATTTGATCCCCTATGTTGGAGGTGGAGCCTAATGGGAGGTGTTCAGGTCATGTGGTCAGATCCCTCATGAATGGCTTGGTGCCCTCCTTGAGATAATGAGTGAGTTCTTGTTCTATTAGCACCCCATTAGTTCCCTCTAGAGCTGGTTTTTAAAAAGAGTCTGACACCTCCCTCCCCTCTCTCTCTTGCTCTCTCACCAAGCGATCTCTGCACACATCAGCTCCCCTTCCCTTTCTGCCATGAGTGGAAGTAGCCTGTAGCCCTCACCAAAAGCACATGCTGGCTCCATGATTCTTGTACAGCCTGCGATCCATGAACCAAATAAACCTCTTTTCTTTACAAATTACCCAGCTCAGGTATTCCTTTATAGCAACACAAACAGATGAAGATGTAAATAATCTATGAACTAAATAAGAAATTAAAATGAAAATAAGAAAAAAATTTTAAACAATGATAATGAAAATATGAGTATAAAAACTTATAGAATGCAGTTAATCTGCGCTCAGAGAACACATAATGGTTGAATAAAAATCTAAGGATGGAAATCAATGATCTAAGGCTCAATCTCAAGCAAGAAGCCTGAAAGAAAATAGCAAATTAAACTCAAAGGAAGTATAAAAGAGCAATGATAAGGATCAGGACAAAAATCAATGAAATAGAAAAAATATATTTAACACAGCAGAGAAGTAGGCAATCTTTTTCTGTAAAGAGACAAATAGTAAATATTTTAGACTTTGTTGATCATAAAATCTGTCACCGCTATTCAACTCTGCCATTGTAGTGCAAAAACAGACACAGATAATACATATATGAATAGATGTGGCTATGTCCCAATAAAACTATATTTACAAAAACAGATTGTGGGTTAGATTTGACTCATTAGCCATATATTGCCAATCTCTAATGAGGAATACAGCAAAGCCAAAAGTTGGTCCTTTGAACAAAAATGAATAGAACTGACAAAAGTCCAGTAACACTATAAAGAAAAAACAAAGGGCACAATTTACTAATATAAAAATAAATATATAAGAAATATATATGATATATTATCTTTATTAATATAAGACAGTAATAATGATCTTAAAGGCATTAGAAAAATAAGAGGCTGGACGAAGTGGCTCATGCCTGTAGTCCCAGCACTTTGGGAGGCCTCACAAAGCAGGTGGATCGCTTGAGCCCAGGAGTTCAAGACCAGCCTGGGCAACACAGGGAGACCCTGTCTCTACAAAAAATACAAAAATTAGCCGGGCGTGGAGTGGGGGTGGGGGGTGGGGGAGGGATAGCATTAGGAGAAATACCTAATGTAAATCATGAGTTAATGGGTGCAGCAAACCAACATGGCACATGTATACATATGTAACAAACCTGTACATTGTGCACATGAACCCTAGAACTTAAAGTATAACAAAAAAGTACAAAACTTAGCTGGGCACACTCCTGTAGTCCCAGCTACTCAGGAGGCTGAGGTGGGAAGATCACTTGAGCCCGGGAGATTAAGGCTGCAGTGAGCCGTGATCCTGCCAATGTACTCCAGCCTGGGTGACAGGGTGAATTCCTGTCTTAAAAAAAAAAAAGTAAGAGATATTATGAATAACTTTAGAGAATAAATTGTATAATTTAGATGAGATGGACAAATTTGTTTTTCAAAATACTAACTTACCAAAACTGACACACACAAAAATAGAAAATCCAAATTATTGGGTGCCCATTAAATATATTTGAATCTCTCCAAATGAAAATCATTCCTTAAAGAGCCACTTGCTATCATTTGTTTTATAGCAAAATATAAAGATTGAGATAGAAACTGCTATCACAGAATAGCATGCGAGGTTGCAGTGAGCCGAGATGGCGCCATTGCACTTCAGCCTGGGCAACAAGAGTGAAACTCTGTCTCAAAAAAATAAAATAAAATGAAATAAAAAAATTAAGAAGTGAATTTATCAAAGTCACTGGATACAGACATCATAGTTAAAAATCAACTGTAATTATATATGCTAACATGAAAAAACTGGAAAATGACATTTTAAAACAAAACAATTTGCATTAGGATAATGAAAAGAATAATAATATCTGAGAACATTTAGCATCAAAACACCAGATACCTAGAAATAAACCAAAAAATGTACAGGAGCTGTACTAAAAACTACAAAACACTGCTGAGAGAAATTAAAGAAGATCTGCATAGATGAAAGAATATACCATGTCCCTGTATTGTGAAGATGCTGGTTCTCCCCTATTGATCTATAGGTTCAATGTAATCCCTATCAAAATCCCAGCTACCATCTATAAAAATTAATAAATGTATCCTAAATTTTACATGGAAAGGCAAAAGATTTAGAATAGTCAAAACAAAAATGAAAAAGAACAAAGTTAAAGAACTTACATTACCAAATATCAAGATTTATTACAAAATGTAAGACAATTAAAATAGTGATATTGGCACATGATAGAAAAACATATCAATGAAACAAAATAGAGAGTCTAGTAAACAGACTCATTCATATAAGACTCCCTAATTTATGAAACAAGTGCCATTAGAATGCAGTTGTGGAAAATGCTACATTTTTAATAATTAATATTTTAATGAAATTTTATCACACCTCAAAGTATGCCAAAAAAACACAATTCTACATGCATTACAGGTCTAAATGTAAAAGGAAAAACAATATCGCTTTTGAAAGTAACATAGGACATATTCTTAACATTGAAGTGAGCAAAGTAATCTCTTAATATAAGACACAAAAATCACAGTAGAGGGGTTGGGAGATGTTGGTCAAAGGATATAAAATTTCAGTTAGATAGTAAGAATAAGTTCAAGAGATCTAGTGTACAATATGATGACTACACTTAATAACAATGTATTATATTATTAAAATTGCTAAGAGAGTAGATTTTAAGTGGTTCTCACCACAAAAAAATTGAAACGAATTTTGAAATTAAAAAATTGAAAAAATATGAAGCCTCATTTTGTGGTTCTCACTACAAAAGAATAAGTACGTGAAGTAATACATGTTAATTAGCTCAAGGTAGTCATTCTACAATGTATACATATTTCAAAACATCATGTTGTACAACATAAACACAATTTGTATTTGTCAATTTTTAAAAATGGCTTACCATAAAAGATTGATAAATCTAACTTCTTTAAAATTAAGAATTTATGTTTATCAAGAGACTATAAAGCTATGAAATACAAATGTCCAACAAACAGCTCATATCCAAAATGTATAGAAAACTCCTACAAATCAATGAGAAAAATGAAAGGCAAACCAACTTTAAAAGAAACAAGCAAAAGACTTGAATAGGCGCTTAATGAAAGAGGATATCCAAATGACCAATAAATACAATAAAATGTGAAAAACATCATTAGTCATCAAAATAATGCAAATTAAAACCACAATGACTAACTTTTTAATCCCCTCAGAATGAGTAAAATGTTATTAAGTGTTGGTGAGGGTATAGAGCAACTAGAACTTCAACACTCTGTTGGTGGGAATATGAGTTGGTATCTACAATTTAGAATCCTATTTGGCAGTATCTACTAAAATTGTACAAATGCATAGCCTATGACCCAGCAATTCCACTCCTTGATATAGAAACAACAGAAATACACACATATGTGCACTAAAAGACACAGACAAGAACACCTACAGCAGCATTGTTTATAATTACCCCAGACTGGAAACAATACAGATATTCATTATTAGTAGAATGAATGAATGAATGAATGAATGAATGAATGAATAAATAAATAAATAAATAAATAGTGTTGTATTCATATAATAGAATACTATACAACAATGAAAAATAATGACTTTCTGCTACAAAGAATCACATTAATAAATCTCACAGACATAATTTTGAGAGAAAGGAGCTAAAAACAAAGAAGTACCCACTGTATGATTCCATTTATATTAAGTTCCAAACATCAGAAGTAATCTATAGTGACAGAAATCAGAATGTTGGTTACTTTTGAGTGAAGGATAATGATTAAAAGGGGCATAAAGGCTTCTGTAGTGCTATTAATATTCTACATTGGGGGATGTTACATAGGCATGTTGCATTGCAAAATTTGTTCAAATTCATCAAGCTTCTTACATGTATGAATGTGTTATACTTCAATGAAAATGTTTTCCCCAAAAATCTGATATGTGGACAAAAGTAATATGATTACAATAAATTAAGTCTCTAGTGTCCAGAGCAGTTTACTTTTCATTTTTCATATACAGGAAATTTATCTCTTGTTCATTCACTCTACTGCAAACTCAAAAAACTTAAAGACAAGATTCTTCTTTACCCACATAAAGCCTTGTCGTATCAGTTGCTTTGTGGATGTGCACATATTTGTATAACTACAAGTAGACACTGGGATGAAGATGGACTTTAACTTTCACATAGCGGAAGAGGAAGTAAGAGTCCTTGATGACCTGAAAATAACCTGCCATCCAAGTGACATTTAAAATGAGAAGCTTCTTAAATGTCTATTTTTACCATAAACTTTCCTAAGGAATCAGCCTTCATCATCTTCATCTTTTGGTAACACATAAGCTAATGTTCATCCGCTTGAACACATACAAAAATTTCAAAATAAAGAAAGCTCTGCATGACACTGAGTACCAGGTGGCATTCTGACACATCACCATGAGGAAGTAGAAGGAAGTCATTTTTTAAAACTATTTTAAAGAACTGTAGCAAAGCACACTGGCAAAACCCAAGGAAAATCAATGTTGTCATCTGCTTCATAGATATTCAGATTTTACAAATAATATTAAAGCCATTCCAAACCCTTTGGGAATGTGCCTTGATGCCACAAAGAAAATTGCCACAAATGGGCACTTTCCTGAAGTCTAAGTGTGTGGGGGAAGGGGCGGGGGAGGTGGATCCTGCCATGCAAATAAATTCTCAGGAAGCTGTGAAGATATTAGCTATTTTACTCAATTTATTCCAAGCTGAAACATAATAGTACATTATAAATCTGTTTTGATTTTACTTAATCTAATGAAAAAATGTTCATCTTTTTGATAAGTACTCATTAGCCATTTTTTTCTGACATAAACAGACAGGAAAGATGTTCTTGCACTGCATTTAAAACTCAACTCAGCTAATTACAGTGCAATGACTCAAAGAACAAAATCGACGTACTGAAGTTTCTTACTTGAATTGTCTTTATAGTTGAATTAAAAATCTAACAAAAAAAAAAATTAAAAGGGTCCCAGCAGTGTGTTTTACACTTAGGTTGAACAATGTTTAAGTAAACAAAGGTCAAAGTCTAGCACATGATATAAATTTTCAAATTTTCTGATGTTAATTCCTCTCTAAGAGCAGTTGCTGAATTTGTCACCAAACGTGTGTTTACATGGGAGGTGGGGAAGATGCTTTCTTTTTTGGGAGCAGTGATGAATTTGTATAAACAATTCACCTTATTTCACTTAGTCCATTGCGAGACCAAAAGTCAACATGCAAATAAGATCTAGTTAGTGTTGGAGCCAGGCTAGGAACAGGGAATTGTGTGAAGCTAAGAGAAAGATATAAGAATCAAACTTACAGCCCAGGCTTTTATGCCCAGGACTTTTAGGAATATCAGATGGTTTGGGCTTTTTGGATCACAGAGTATTAATCCGCTGTAACATTATCCTGAATGAGCCTGAGAAAAATTAGTGCCATTTCCCAAAATGCTTGATTTAAGCTCCAGAAAGAATTTTAACTCATCTGGGTTGGGATATCTCAAATAGTGGTATGACTCAAATGATCATTTCATTGATTTTTACAATTCATTTTTATTATAAAATTTATATATTTACCTGAAGCTAGAAATTTTAAAAATTATTTTAGATCTGTGATACATAAATTATGCCTATTGTACCTAAACTGCCATCACAAAAAGGAGCAATTAAAATTAAATTAAATGTCACTTTTTCCTACCCTCTGTATGACATCAGTATTTAAATGAGTACATGTAGGCTTTTTTAAGGTTAATTTGAATGAACAAACAAAATAACAAGAGAACAGTCTACTACTGAGCTCATTAGATGGATGGCTGAGTCACCTTCATAAATGATTTTGCTAGCTTAAATTAGTCATTAGGCACTGGAGACTAAGAAAAAACATACATCTTGTGTCTTTCAGGAATTCAAATTGGTCTTACCTGTGTTAAGAAAATAGCTATGCTTCACTAACAAAGATATAAGCACAGTAGACCTGCACCCTGAAGCAACAATGCATAGCTTGGAGGTTACGAAGCCAGGTTGAAGAAGGCACATTTTACACTTAGGTTGAACACACTGGGCTTCTTCTTACCTCCATGCTTTGCATGTGCTGAGCCTTCTGCACAGCATGCCTTTCCCCCTTAAAATTTCAACTCACCCTGTAAGACCCAGCTCAAATGTCACCTTCTTAATCACATGCTCCCTGATCATTCTCCCCTCTCTGTCTACAACCTCTAATAATCAGACATGCTCTCCTTCACTCATTCTTTCAGCAAACTGCTCCTGGGGTTGGGAAACACCAGTGAACAAAACAGGCACAAATATCCCTTCCCTTAGGAAGCTGACATTTTTGTGGGTGAAGATAGTACAAATAAATATTTTTAAAACTAGATTATATAGAATGTTATACATTGATAAGGGTATGAAAAAAAAGACTGCAGTAAGAATGGGGAGTGAGTGGGGGTTGTTTGGGAAGAGTAGCAATTAAAAGCAGGGGTTGGATTAAATCCAATTAAGAAGTGACAAAGACATGCAGAAGGTGAGGGCCTCTCAACGTTTCATACTACCTCTCCCCACATACCATTTTGCAATTTCTCATTTTCATTTCAGTCTTCCTCATTAAGCTGGGTGCTCCCCACAGGCAGGGACTAAGTGAGTTATCTTTTTGTTTCCAGTATATAGTACAGCACCTGGCAGGAATTGCTCAATTCATGAATGAACAAATGAAGGAAACTCTTCACAGTCTCCATAGTTGAAGAATCAGTCATTTCTCCTTCCCCTACATTTTTAACGGTGCTTTACTTTGTTTACCTTTAATATGTAATAAGTATCCCCAGATAATATTCCTGTTCTCTCAACAGTGATCTTCAAAGTGTATGATGTACATCAAGGAGCTATGCAGAACAAGCCCTTGATGAGAAGCGTGGGAGGCAAGAAGGAAGTACTAGAACTTCTACTCAGGTTGATTTTTTTAGTATCAAAACTAAGAGAGAAATTGTTAATAGAATATAATCTATGGCTTGATTGACACTCTCACAGTGACACCTGGGATATCCTAAGGGAAGGGAGGCATTCCTCTTTAGACAGTAGCATCCCCACTTGGACAGGATGGCCCTTGATAAATAGATCATACATTGTTTATTATCTACTCCAAAATATATAAACCAGTGGTTTTATTATTTATTTATTTTTACAGACAGGGTCTCATTCTGTCGCCCAGGCTGGAGTGCAATGGCCAATCATAGCTCAAGGCAGCCTCAACCTCCTGGGCTCAAGGGATCCTCCTGCCTCAGCTTCCCAAGTAGCTAGGACTACAGGCACGTACAGGCACACGTCCCCACACTTGGTTAATTTTTTATTTTTCTATTTTTTTTTGGAGACAGAGGTCTCACTATGTTGCCCATTTGGTCTCAAACTCTTAGCCTCAAGCAGTCCTCCCACCCCAGCCTCCCAGAGTGTGGAGATTACAGGCATAAGCCACTGCGCCCAGCCTAGACCAGTGCCTTTTAAATGATGCCATTTTTAAAAGCCACAGATTGAAGGTAACAGTCATATGCCACTTAATGGTGGGGGTACATGCTAAGAAATGCATCACTGGGCAATTTCACTGTTGTGCGAACATGATAGAATGCATTTACATAAACCTAGATGGTGTAGCCTACTACACACATAGGCTCTCTATTGCTCCTAGGCTACAAACCTGTATAGCATGTTACTGTACTGAATACTGTAGGCAATTGTAACACAATGGTAAGGATGTATGTATCTAAACATATCTAAAGATTTAAAAAAGGTACAGTTAAGACACGGTATAAAAGATTTAAACTGGTACACCTGTATGGGGCACTTACCATGAAGCCTGCAGGACTGGAAGTTGCTCTGGGCAAGTCAGAGAGTGAGTGGTGAGTGAATGTGAAGCCCTAGGACATCGCTGTACACTACTGCAGTCTTTAGAAAACAGTACACTTAGACTACACCAAATATATATTTAAAACATTTAAATATGTATGTCTTCAATAATAAATTAACCTCAGCTTATTGTAATTTTTTATTGTATAAACTTTTTAACATTTTTAAACTTTTTGACTCTTTTGTAATAGCACTTAGCTTAAAACACAAACACATTGTACAGCTGTACAAAAAGAATAAGGACTATATCCTTATTTCTACCTAAAATTTTGTTTTAGCTTTTTGAAGTTTTTTGTAAAAAACGAAGACACAAACACACACATGAGCCTCGGCCTACACAGACAGGTTCAAGATCATCAGTATCACTGTCTCCACCTTCACCATCTTATCCCCTGGAAGGTCTTCAGGGGCAATAATCCTCATGGAGCTGACATCGCCTATGATAACAATGCCTGTTTGACAATGAAAAGCAAGTAAAAATCTGCTGGGGATTTCAGGGACAGCTTTTGTTTCACCAATATAGGCCCCACCCCTCCCTCCTTTGCTGGTCTGGAATTCTGAGGTGAGACTAAGAGCAGCCATCTTGTGACTATGAAGCAACAGGCATGAAGGCAACATCATAGGAAAAGGACAGCAGAGAGGAAAGATAGAAAGGGTCTGGAACCATCCAGGATGAGCCCTGGCTGTGGGAAAAAGTAGACTCTATTCAATCTAGTCACTGAAGTCAAGTGCCTGTTACATGCGGCCAAACACAATATCCTTTTCTTTCTTTCCTTCCTTTCTTTTTTTTTTTGACAGAGTCTTGCTCTGTTGCCCAGGCTGGAGTGCAGTGGCACTATCGCCACTCACTGCAACTCTGCCTCTGGGCTCAAGTGATCAAGGAGATGGAACGACAGGCACGCGCCACCAAGCCTGACAATATTTTTTTAATGGGATTTCACCATGTTGCCCAGGCTGGGCTCGAACTCCTGAGCTCAGGCAATCTGCCCTCCTTGAACTCCCAGAGTGCTGGGATTACAGGAGTGAGCCGCCATGCCCAGAAAACACAATATTCTTTTGAGGTTTATAATTTAACAGCAAAAGACAAAGGCCACATATCAATGGGAAACATGTTCTTCCTGCTGCTTTCCAAATGGCTGAAATTATATGCAGAAAACAACATGGCAACTACCTAAAATGCCTGTTTCTAGTCTATAAACACTGTTAGACGATATACTGGCTGATCATTCAACATTCCACAAACATTTGCATATTTTTTCCATTCCACATCTACATTTATTTATTTATTTATTTATTTATTTATTTATTTATTTATTTTTGAGAGGGAGTATCGCACTGTCGCCCAGGCTGGAGTGCAGTGGCACGATCTTGGCTCACTGCAACCTCCGCTTCCTGGGTTCACGCCATTCTCCTGCCTCAGCCTCCTGAGTAGCTGGGACTGCAGGCACCCACCACCAACCCCGGATAATTTTTTTTTTTTTTTGTATTTTTAGTAGAGACGGGGTTTCACCATGTTAGCCAGGATGGTCTCGATCTCCTGACCTCGTGATCCGCCTGCCTCGGCCTCCCAAAGTGCTGGGATTACAGGCGTGAGCCACTGCACCCGGCCCACATCTACATTTTTTTAATGGGAAGACCACAAGGATATTTCCTTTGTCCCATAAATTTTATGATGAGCTATAGATAAAGATAGGCATCTCAAAAGAGTCAACCAACTAATGAACTTTCTGACAGGAGCAAGACGATACGACGCATTATCTTCTTCACTTTTATTGTAATATCTCTTTATTATAAAAGTGATATATGCACTTGATAAAATATTTAAGCACTACAGATCATTAAATAAAAAATTCATCTCTTCAAAGGTTATCTTTACAAATAGTTATTACCACATGATTCAATGGCTTGTTCCCTACTGTCCACCCACACTGATCCCTCACTCCACCCCAAACCCCACCCCACATCTGGATGTCCATATTCAGGAGTGGGATTACTTGGATTTCCATGTAACCACCAGACTAGTTGAGGTCTCCCTCTCCATCCTCTCTCTCATCACTTACCACCTTTTCTAATTATATAATTGTCAGTGTGTTTGTTTAATATCTGTCTTATTGTCCAGACAGGGATTCTCCAAGGGCAGGGACCCATTGTCCTTGTTTTTGTTTTATGATATGCCCTGATCCTGGCAGGCACTCAACATATATTTGATTAATGAATGAATGAATATTGATGAGTATTAGAAGTAATGAAGTTGGCCGGGCGCGGCGGCTCACGCTTGTAATCCCAGCACTTTGGGAGGCCGAGGCGGGTGGATCACGAGGTCAGGAGATCGAGACCACGGTGAAACCCCGTCTCTACTAAAAATAAAAAAAAAATTAGCCGGGCGTGGTGGCGGGCGCCTGTAGTCCCAGCTACTCGGAGAGGCTGAGGCAGGAGAATGGCGTGAACCCGGGAGGCGGAGCTTGCAGTGAGCCGAGACTGCGCCACTGCACTCCAGCCTGGGTGACAGAGCGAGACTCCGTCATAAAAAAAAAAAAAAAAAAAAAAAAAAAAAGAAGTAATGAAGTTCCGATTTCAAAACAACATGTTGTACAAATAAAGGTGCACAATTTTTAGTTGTCAATTTAAATAAATAGACCATAAATAAATAAAAGAAGTGAAGTTCTGAGGAACTGAACCAAAACTTGTCTTTGTACCTCAGTGACCTGGTAAGGGCTGGAAGGACAGAGTTGTCAGAGACAGAAAAGCACCAGGTACCCATGATTCAAGTCAAGACCTTCTTGTTCCCTGAGGAACAGCAAATGCTTATTCCCAGCAAAGGAACAGCAGCCTTGGTCTCCATGGGCTTATAGGAAAGGGCTTATAGGAAAGAAATATTTCTTCTTTGTGCTGTGACCTGTTCAAAGAACGAAGCCTTTTCATCAGGCTCCTCCTTATATGTTTCCTTCTTCATAAACAGAAGGTTCTGATACCTGGGAGACTTCTTGGATGCAGAAGCCTGACTGAGAGCAGAAAGAGCCGTCTGTAAGCCAACCCTCTCTCCTGCTGGAAAACGAGTGATTTGCACCCTCCCCTCTGCAGTAAACCTTTCTAACATCACAAAACCCCACCACTTGACTTGGGCATCCTGACTATGGCCAAGCAGAGTTGGTGGTTAGAGATGGGAGCCAATGCCACCCTACAGTAGGGGCCCACCCACTAAGCTCGCCCTCAGATGTTCCCTGAGGAGAACAAAACAAGTGTATACCAAGGCACCCAGTGATGACTGGGCTGCCGGGTTCTGATGAAATTGTAGTTTCTCCTGCCTTCTCCCCTCCTCCCGGGAATGAAAACAGCATATGAAGATGGCAGAGGATGACAGTCATTTTAGCATAATGATCATATTGGAGACAACCACTGGATGGTTTATCATATTTTGGAGATATTACCACTGAGAAGACCATCGTGAAAATCCCCCTTGACCCCACCATTCAGTGCCCTGGTACCACCTGGTCAAGACCACAGCGAAATCAGCCAGCATAGGAAGAGGCACAACTCAGAGGATTGGATGCAAACAAATAAAAAATGACAGGACCACAAGGGAGGTAGAGAAAAGGTAGGAGGTCAAGAGAGGGAAGGGTTCTTAGCCTCCCTGAACCTGCTTCTCCATCTATAAAGTGGGAGTGATTAACATAAAGTCCCAAATTTAGGTGCAAAATGTCAACTGCACAAACGTGGGGTGGGGAATCTCTGAAGAGAACTAGGGGTTTTAGATGATTACAAGGTCAGTATGATGCACAGACTGATGTTTGTGGTTGTTAAAAAACACAGTCTCCAGGTGCATTAATAACATATGTAAAACTGTTTGCAATAAATAAGACAGGAACAGTTCTATCCTTTCTGCATGTCTTTGAGATACAGCATTATGGTCTTAAGGGAAACTATCTTAAGTTACAGAGGAAAACGATCAGAATGGCAAAGGCCGAAAAACCGTGGCATCTGGGATGATCACGATTTGAGACCAGCAGGAATGGCTCCCACAGTAGCAGCAGGTGCATCCTTTCCGACCATCTTGGCCTGTGCCTCTTTACCTTTTCTATGAGTCTGACGATCAGTAGCCTCTTCCTAATTGTGAAACCGCCCTTCCTTTACCTATCTCAGCAGACAACAAAGGATTTAACCAACAGGTCAGTTTGGTCTATTTTATGTGTATGTCTGTGTGTCTGTATAAATATATAAGCATTTATTTATGTCCTGCTCATTCTAAAAGGGATTCAAGGGGTGGACACAGTGGTGTGCACTTGTAATCCCAGCTACTTGGGAGGCTGAGGCGGGAGGATCGCTTGAGGCCAGGAGTTTGGGGCTACTGTAGTGTGCTTTGATCACGTATGAGAATAGCCACTGTACTCCAGCCTGGGCAACATAGTGAGACCCCATCTCAAAAAAATAAATAATAAGTAAAAGAGATTCAAGGTGGCTTACAGTGATGTACACAATGAAAATAGTGCACAGTGGAGAAGAGACAAGAAGGAGAAATATTCTCTTATTCTACCTCTTCTCCTTCCCTGCCCCTTTTTGTCTTGGGTTCCCAAGTCACAGCCACCATTCGGTTTCACCCAGAACCTGCTCTGAGTGGGCCTGCTTCAGCAATGGCAGCCGAGTCAAATCTATGTATTTACCTTCATCTTCTCTGGCTCATTTCTTCAGCATTTACTTAACACCATCCAGTAGGCACTGGAAATGCTACAGTGATCAGACAAGGCTACTTCCCCCAAAGAGTTCATGGTCTCAAACCCAGCCTTCTCCCAACAATAGATAGAAAGTTAAAGAAACCAACAATATTGACTTAGAAAATACAAACTTAGAGGAGATAGGATTCTTGTTTCCAAAAATGTGAAGGGCTCCCATATGATTTAGCTTTTTAGTTTAGTTTTCAACTATGTTATTTTATGTGCACTTTTATTTGAGAAGACCTCAACTTCCTCTTGGCTCTAAGTAAGTTATAAATTAGAAATGAGTACATACAGGGCATCAATATAGCAGAGTGGTTAAATGCAGGGGTTTTAGACTTAGCTATCTTGATTTCAAATCCAAGTCTGGCTATTAGATGTGACTTTAGATTCATTAGATCAGACTTTGGGCAAATTATATAACATCTTCTAACATCAATTTCTTCATCTTTGACAATACCAATATGTTGTGAAGATTAAGTGGCATAATGTATGCCAAATGCTTAGCACAGGGGCCAGCACATAGTAAGTACTCAAACAACAGTAGCTAGTTCTCATTAAATCCGTGTATATTTGAAGACATATAGTATAGTAAATAGTGACAGACGTGAGCTAAATTGTGATTTTTATTTATTTTTATTTATTTATTTTGAGGCAGTCTTGCTCTGTCGCCCAGGCTACAGCACAGCCTCAGCTCACTGCAACCTCCGCCTCCTGGGTTCAAGTGATTCTCCTGCCTCAGCCTCCAGAGTGGCTGGGACTATAGGCACGTATCACCACGCCTGGCTAATTTTTTTTGTAATCTTACTACAGACAGGTTTTCACCATGTTGGCCAGGCTGATCTCAAACTCCTGACCTCAAGTGATCCGCCCACCCTGGCCTCCCAGTGCTGGGATTACAGGCATGAGCCACCACACCCAGCTGAACTGTGATTTTATCATCATCACCTCTAGAAACAAACTATGGGTTTCCTTAGATTGAAATTTTACTCATTAATATAAGAAATACATTTCTAACATCTAAAGTGAAAAATTCACAAAATGTAAAACTTCAATAATGTGGGGTGAACTCTACTGTCCACAAGTGGACAAGTAGCATAGTCCCCCATCATGACTAGGAGGGAGTTGGACTACGTGGCTTAGAAATAATTCCTTTCTCACTGCAAGACTCTGAATTTGAATTCAAATCTGCTGTAAAATGAGAACAAAAGAATCACGCTGGCCTCTGGAAGGCCCTCCAGTCAGCTTGACCTCAGAAGGCTGGATTAGCAGAACTGAAGACAGTTTTCTGAAGCACTGCAAAGATTAGGAATTCCTGGACCAGGGAAGACTCAGATGGCCAGAGGCCAAGACACAGAGTGCTGGATTATTTTGCTTGGCCCCTGGAAAACAAATGTAAATCTAATCGACAATCAATCAACGTTTATCTTATCCATAATTGTGCAAAGCTCCATGGTGTAATGTAAAGTAGATACCAGACTTGGTCCCAGAAATCAGACTGAAGCATTAGAAACAGACTGTGTGAGATCCTCAAAGATGACAATGACCATGAACCTTCCTTTTATCTCAGCAGCTGGGCTATGTTCCCTTAGGCACAGGTCAAACATCAATATTTTCAGTCAAAAACAGTCAGGCCTGGGTCTCACTTGAATTTGCTCAGAGACAGCACATTCTTCAGTCCCTCTTCTAGACAATACAATACATATTTTGAGAAGTCACACATTTACTTCTGGACACAGTTGCAGCATAGGGGTAGGGATGGTATTCCCAAACATGGGAGCGTTGTAAAATGCTCATCAGAAAAGGGAGAGAGCTAGGAGTAACAGAGGAAGCTCTGGACTGAATATTTTTAACGCTGGCATTTCAGATCCTGGAAGAAAGAGACATCAAAGCCAAATAAATAAAAACAATGTGTGAAAGATACCTGTCCTTATCAGACAATTTAAAAATAAACTGGCCAGGCATGGTGGTTCACGCCTGTAATCCGAGGACTTTGGGAGGCCGAAGTGGGAGGATTGCTTGAGGACGGGAGTTTGAGACCAACCTGAGCAACATAGTGAGACCCTGTTTCTACAAAAAAAAAAAAAAAAAAAAAAAATGTTTTTAATTGGCCAGGTGTGGTAGTGCACCTACAGTCCTAGCTACTTGGGAGGCTGAAATAGGAGATCACTTGAGCCTAGGAGTTGGAGGCTGTAGTGAGCTATGACTGGGCCACTGCACTCCAGCCTGGGTGACAAAACAAGAACCTGTCTGTATTTTAAAAGTAAAAATAAAAAGAATAAAAATAAAATAAACTGTTATTTTTAAAGCTACTTTTCAGTTCCTTACAGATGAGTGTTAACTTTTATTCCCAATCAAAAGCCTTTTTATGCATTTAGTCTCAAATTGTCATGCTGCCCACAAAATCTGCAATAAAGCAATTGGAAGCCCTAGAGTAAACAAAATGTGTTCAGCAGAATGGCAGGCTCAGGAAGCTGATCAGAAATACGCACACACTGTCTGTCGGGGTGTTTTCTGGATTTTTCTCTGTTTTATTCATTTATACTAATGTGTGGACAAAAGGGTAGAAAACATTTTGCTACGAATAAAACCCTGAGAATTGTATGTAATTTCTAAGCTTCTCCTTGGGAAAGAAGCCACAATCTGTTTTCAGACAAGAGTAGAACACTTGCAATTCCCTTTGAAAAACAACGTTCAATTTTCCCTTAAATTGAGATGCCAGAGCAACTAGATTGCAATTTAAATCAGAGAACAAAATTAGTCCAGGTACACCGGGGTGGAAGGAAAGGCAGAACAGACACCATGGTAAATCGCCTATGAATTCAAAATGCAGTCTTCCCCCCAACCCCAGCAGATTTTCACTTCCGACAAATTAGAGAAATAAATTGGCAGTTCACCTACGATTTGCTGATAAACAAACATTTTTCACCAGCCACTTCATGACCATCTTTTGAGTGGAGCTTTTTTCAGTTCCATAAAGGATTGGGTGTAATGATAATTTTGAAGTTCACAATAACTCTCGGCAGGGCTCTAATGAAAAACAAAAATCTACTCCTAATTCCAACCATTTGCCATAACAACAAAAGCCTTTATATTATTAATATTAGTGTGGCCCGAGGGAGAGCTAGAACCTCAGAGAGGGGCAGGGACTGACAGCAGCTAAAATATTTCATCTCCTGGTTAAACCCCATGAAAGTCAGGTTTCAAGTTGGGTTCCAAAAGCACAAACAAGGACCAATATCAGGGGAGGACCTGGCTGAACACCTTCATGTGCAGCAGAAATGAACTGACCACCCCGGATGGACACAGGCTTGCGGCTAAGATTTCCTTGTGCTTCAATAAATGAATCCATTTGTTGGTTCTTCTTACAAACTGGACTAAAGCTCTGACCTCCACATTTCCATAAAATTCAATACACCTTGGGAGAATCATAATCCCAGATTCATGCACTCTTCTCTTTGGGTTCTGTGACCAGCTGAGACCTCAGCTGGCAGAGAATGGTGGGTTTTGTGGGGAGGTGGAGAATATACTGGGATTGGAGGAGTTTCTATTCCACAGAGGAGCCTTTATCTCTGCAAATATGTTCCACTGTCAGGTTGGCTGGAACCAGACCTATCTCTCCAAGGCAAGGGCATTTCAGGACAGAGCCCGAGGTGGTATCTATTTAGTCCAAAACTTTGCCATCAATAGAGTGCACAATCTGCCTAGCAGGGTTGTGTGGCTCCCCTTGGGAAAGGCATCAGTCTCTAGTGAGGATACGTAGCCAGAGATGAGAAGTCCTTCTACAAAATGATTTTTGCAAAGGTTCAAGTAGGGAGAATAGGTGGGGGGCAGGGTGATTTCCATAACTGTACCATCCTAGTGTTAAATTCCATCCAAGTGGGCTTTTGTGAAAATTATACCAAACGCTGAGAAGCAATAATCACCTGAAAGCAAAGTGGTCCGTCATTACCAAAAGATTTCAAATTCACCACCTTTTGGGGTAGAAGTGGGTTGGGAGGTGGGGAACCGGGTTTCTAAAAGACACAACGAATCACAAATATGCTGATCAAACATCATCAATGACGTCTTATCCCTGAAGGCAAGTGAAGGATACACTGGGATTTAAGGTACCTAGACACTTGCCAACAGAATGTGAAGATGTTAGGGATAAACAAACAAGCATCCTTAAATTGCATAGTTTAAAAGTTTAAAAGCAATCTAAGGAATAATTTGACAAATAGTAAGTCTCTAAACATCAGAATAATATAAACTTCCTAGTGCAGTGAATGGGGATGCTGACTAAATTCATATCTGCTCAGAGACTTTATTCCAGGGCATGAGGCTGAGCTGCTGCAATGTACACAAGTGGGGTGTAAAGTCAATGGGATTACATTTTCCTAATTATTTTCTGCTTGAGCTTTACAGCACATACACAAAATGAGATCAGCCGGGACTTGCCTCTCTAACAAATCACTCAGATTTAAACATTGCTCACATAAACAAAGGGGGGTGGGGTGGGGGGAGACAGACACAAGGCTGGGAAAAGACAGAAAAGGGCTTCTTCAATCACAGTTGCAAGGAACAAAAACCTGGAGGGGAAAGAGAGTTGCTGGACCGCCACCAAATCTCCCCCACTGGAGACAAGAGCCCATCTGCTGAGCTCGGCAACTTCGCTTTAACTACCATTCAGCTCGCGTCTCTGCAGAGATCTGTCTGCAGAGCTGGCAGATGGACCCCTGCTTCCCCGAGTCGCTGTGTTATTTGTTTAATAAATTTAATTAATATCCATACTGCATTGGATTGCTCCCAGAAAAGGGGCTGAAGTGCTCCCTTTCCCCAACAGCTACATGATGAGTGATTTCCCAGAAAAGAGCAGATAACAGTGCCCTGGACCACTGAAAAATTAAAAGTACCATGTGCTTACGTTACTTTGCATGTATTAATTTTTTGCAGTGCACTAATGTACCTCTGACAGGTATTTTAGCCTTATGAAGACATGCAATTCACAAAAAAGGCAGAGATCTCTTCTTTCAGATCACTTAGATTTGTTGGAATGTTTTTAAAAGAACCCTATTGAATCACATATTCAACATTTTTATCTATTTCTACAAAATGGAGGGCCATAAAGGGTAAGGAAGGTAAGGAGGTAGAAAGCAGCTAGTGGGCACTTTTAACGAACTGAAAATATTCCTTGTCATATTAAACTCGTATTATTTCCCAAGCTGGAAAAATGTGACTATTGCAAACATACAGGATGGAAAGTGTCTTGGACAAAACCAAGGCGGTAACATACTTCCTCTTTGTTGAGTGGAGTCCCTGCAATCAGTGAGTATGAATTAAAGCAGTGTTACATTAACCTTGCTATTCAATGTCGTTCTGTCCTTCTAGGCAGCACATTTCATCTTAACCTAGATTTTCCATAGTATATTTTTTTAAAAAATCCCTTGAGGATGTAAAAGGTGTCTCATGATAAAAGCATTCTGTCCTCAATAAGTTTGGGAAATATGTCCAGAAAGGGTAAATAGGTTTCTTTCCTGCAGGCCTTCTCTGAGCCTTTAATGTGCAAATAGGCACTGTAAATATTCCTACAGAAGGGGAATGGGATTCAATATAAAAGGCACCACTTTCCAAAACCCAAGCTTGTTTTGTTCACCACTATATCCCAGGGCCTAAGACAGGGCATGGCAGATAGTAGGTACTCATTAATACTTGTTGAATGAATGAATACATTAACAAAGATGTGAACTCCCAATGGCTTTACTTAGAAATGATCTTTGGGCACCTGAACCTGACCACTGATAAGATTTCTATTTTAAAAAAATGAACAAAAATATTTCCATACTAGGGAAGAATTGAAGGTACTTAAACAAAATACTGAATTTAGAGGGTTTCACTTTCAAGGTTCTATTTCCCTATATTAGCTTTATTCTATTGAAACTCCCAAGGTGCTATTTCCCTATATGAGCTTTATTCTGCATTTAAACTCCTCTCGACTGCTAAATATCCTACACAATCTCTCCATTCCCTTTCATGAAAACCTGATCTTGTAGAATTTTTACACTTCTCAAATCCTTGGCAACACTCTAATTTGTATGTCTTTGATATGCTTAATCCTTTCCTAGAAACGGTGTAATGAATTCAATTTGATCATAGGCATTGAACTGGTGAGGAAAAAAAAATTACTCCTTTAACTGAATTATTTTAAGTGCAAAAGTGGACAAAGCCAGAATTATTTTGGGTTTTTTAATAATCGCAATGTTAAACTTGGTAAACTGAAATTAGTTTCATTTAAGGTAATAGGAAAAATTTAAGATTATTTTAACGTAGGTTAGCCCTGCTGCATTTTGTTGAAAACAATTCCCCATTGCTTTCCCTTATGTCAATTTCCTACACTATTCCATCCTGTTGATAAGCACTGATGTCACTAGTTTTTCTCTCACATTTTGAGACAACTATAGCCCTCCCTGCTAATTTGATACTCATGGAGAACATACAAAATGGCACTCAATCCTACATAACTAGAATAACTAAAGGATAAAAATATCCCCTTTAGCTCATTTGGCTACTGAGAATTTCTAAACTTACGGAAAAAATCTGCTGTTACCTGGTGAATCCAAACTACTGCTTGAAGCATTATGTTGAAAGCTCTCAGAAGACTTCACTAACATTAAACCCCTCAGGAATAAGAAGAGAAATTAGAGAAGGCTGAAACAAGCAGTGCATTAAAAAAGTTTCCTGCACCAAAATGTTTCTTGAATTGGAAGAAATATATACAATCAATAAATAGAACTCAGAAAATATTATGGGCTAGATTTTAGGAAACGGGGGAAAAAGAAAAGGCAGGAAACATTTATTGCTACTATGTGCCAGGCACAATGTTTAGTACTTGTAATAATAATAAGACTAATTAATGACAGCTAGCATTCAGTTAAGTGCCAAATACTGTGATATACCTTTATATGGTATGTGTATTCCTCCCACTAGGTGCTGTAATTAGGAAGAAACTGGAGCTCAGACAGGTTAAGCAATATGCCAAAGGTCCCAAAATGAGTAAGTGGAATGATGGAGCCCAGATTAGCATCCTACCCATCTGACTCCAGGACCTATATCAACCACTATGCTTTCCCACCTCTTATGTGTATGATCTTATTTCAGAGGATATATACAATAATGTCAGCATTCTCTCAGCCCCTCCAAAACGGAAAGGAACATGATGAAAATATTTTGCATTAATACTCCAAATATATGGCAATAGCAGCAAATTGTTATGACTAAAGGTTATAAAGACTACCCTTGAACTTAACTTCATCAAAATATTAAGTCCATCTAAATTGGCTTAGCTGTCTTCCTCTAACAGATCTTCTGATCCATAATTCAATGTGATTTACTTTTGCAGGTATAATTTTCAATATTCTACCTAATGTGATGTGCTATAATTTTTCTTGTTTTGTTTTGTTTTGTTTTTTGAGACATCTCAGCTTATTGCAGCCTCATCCTCTGGGGCTCAAGCCATCTTCCTGCCTCAGACTCCTGAGTAGCTGGGACTGCAGGTGAGTACCACCACATCTGGCTAATTTTTACTTTTTTTTGTAGAGATGACGTTTCACCATGTTGCCCAGGCTGGTCTTGAACTCCTGAGCTTAAGTGATCTGCCCACCTCAGCCTACCAAAATGCTGGGATTACAAGCATGCGCCACCTCACCCGACCTGATGTGCAATAATTGTTTAGGTCCCCCTCTGTCCCTCCCTCCCTTCAGAAGCAAAAATTAATACAGACACCTGTATTTAACAATTAATCCAGATGAAAGATAAATAAATATCTGTCTATGTATGTCTGCTTTCACTCCAAAAGAACTAATTTTCTTTTAAGGCAACAGGAAAATTTTAATTCCTAGAACAATTCAACAAATGTTTTGGTTGTCTACCACTTGTAAATATTAATAAGCATGTATTGAGCACCTTCTGAATGCTCTCTCTCTGCTACTAGGTGCTGGATGGGATATGTTCTGTTATTCCTACTTCATGTAGACAACGTATTACTTATGTTTTCATAGTGTAACAAATGACCCCAAAATTTTGCAGCTCAAAACAACAAACATTATCTCACCATTTCTGTGGGTAGGAAATCTGGTCACAGCTCAGTTGGGTGTCTCTGGATCAAGGTCTCTCTCATGAAATTACAGCCAAACTATCAGCTGGAGCTGTAGCCTCATCTGAAAACTCAAATGAGGGAGACTCCACTTTCAAACTCACTCATGTAGCTGTTGGCAAGATCTAGTTCCTTAAGAGCTGTTCAGTTACAGGCTTCAGTTTCTTGCTGGCTGTTTGCCAGAGCCCTCTCTCAGTTCCCTGACACGTAGGCCTCTCCATAGGGCTGCTCTCACAGTGTGGCAGCTGGCTTCCTTCAGAGACAGAAAGAGAAAGAGAGAGAGAGAGAGATCCCAAGATAGAAGCCACAATATTTATGTAATCTAATGCCACAAGTGAAATCTATCACTTTTTCCATATTCTATTTGTTACAAGTGAGTCACCAGGTCCAGTATGCATTCAAGGTGAAGGAATTACACAAGATGTAAATACCAGAAGGCAGAGACGACTGGGGGCCATCTTAGACGTTATCTACCATAGAAAGTCAGCAGTGCTGCATTTTTTTTTTTTTGAGACGGAGTCTTGCTCTGTCGCCCAGGCTGGAGTGCAGTGGTGCGATCTCTGCTCACTGAGAGCTCCGCCTCCCGGGTTCACGCCATTCTCCTGCCCCAGCCTCCTGAGTAGCTGGGACTACAGGCACACGCCATCACGCCGGCTAATTTTTTGTATTCTTAGTAGAGATGAGGTTTCACCGTGTTAGCCAGGATGGTCTCCATCTCCTGACCTCATGATCCGCCTGCCGCGACTTCCCAGAGTGCTGGGATTACAGGCGTGAGCCACCGCGCCCGGCCAGTGCTGCATTTTTGTGCTTCTAAAGGGATGCATGCATACTCACACAGACACACACACATACACAAATGAACATCTACAAAATAATTCTTGTTTCCAACATTTTTGCTTTAAAGCTAAATGTACGCATTAAGTAAAATGCCCATGTATACTAAATGCTTTCATCCATTCAACAAATACTTACAGAGTACATAATAGAATTAAAGTCTGTTCTAAAACTTTTTATAAAAAAAAGAAATAACTAAAATTGTGTTGGAAAATTTCACCAAGACTATAGCCAAGCTCTTCTCCTGCAAGCAGAGACACATGGAGAACAAAGTTTAAGACAACCATTGTTCTTTCCAAATTGAAATAACCTCAGCATTTACTGTTACAGACTATTTTTTAAATGTTTCCTCAGGCTAAAGCAGTGATGAGCAAATCTACTTGCCTACAGATATAAAACTTTTTAAATATTAGCTTTAATAATAATAATGGGGCTATTTCAGTCTACGTATGCCTTCTTCTTTTGTCTTATATCTCAATTCATCAGAATTTGAGAGAGGAAGAGGGTATTCAGACTCTATATATTTCAACTAGGGACAATCAATGACAGAAGATGGCACCAACTAGATACTACTCCCCTGAAGCTAAGAAAATATACAACATCCTCCAGAATTGTAATTACCTTAAGGAAGAAGCAAAGGAGAAGAGTGAAAGAAAACCATTCTTAATTAATAGGGCATTTATCAAAAAAAAAAAAAAAGAACTGAGAAACTCCAGAATAATCTGAATTTACCTTGAATGCACAAGATTTCCCCCCCTCCCCCAACTGTCATCAGTCAATAAAACTGGGGACTCATGAGCTGAAGCTGGTTCAGTTATAAAGAAATAACATTCCATTTTTGCACAACTAAATTTTGTAAAGATTTATACTCATCACACAAGCAAATAAATGCTTTACAACCTGTCTTAGTCTACTTTATGCTGCTATAACAGAATACTTGAGTCTGGGTAATTTATGATAACAAAAATTATTTCTCACAGTTCTGGAGGCTGTGAAGTCCAAGACTGAGGGGCCAGCATCTTGCAAGGGCTTTCTTGTCACATCATCCCACAGCAGAAGGCAGAAGGGCAAGAGAAAATGAGAGACAGAGAGCAAGAGGAGGTTGGACTCATCCTTTTACAAGGAACCCACTCCCAAAATAAGAGTGTTAATCCATTCATGAGGAAGGGGCCCGCCTCTTAACTCACGCATTTGGGAATTAATTTTCCAACACATGCTTTTTGGGGACACATTCAAACCACAGCATTCCATCCCTGGCTCCCAAAATTCATGTTCTTCTCATATGCAAAATACATTCATTCAATCCCAATAGCCCCAAAAGTTTTAACTCCTCCAGCATCAACTCAAAAGTTTAAAGCCTCATTTAAATATATGGGTGAGATTCAAGGCGTGGTGCAATCTGAGGTAAATTCCCCTCCCGCTGTGAGCCTGTAAAATCAAATGAGTTATCTACTTCCAAAATATAATGGTCAAATGGGCATAGGATAGACATATCCATTCCAAAAAGGAGAAATAGGCAACAACAACAAAAAGGTAACCGGTCTCATGGAAGTCCAAAACTAACAGGGTGAACAATAGCAAATCTTAAAAGTCTAGAATAATCCTTGACTCCATGTGCCATCTTCTGGTCATACCAAGAAAGGTTGGGCCACCAAGGCCTCGGGCCTCCTTGTCCCCATAACTTTGCTGGGCCCCTCTCATGAAGAACTCTCACAAGTTGGAGTTTTATGCCAGTAACTTTCTCTGGCTGGTACTGTACACTGGTAGCTCTATAGTTCTGGGGTCTTGATGGTCCCACTCCTGGGGCTCCACTAGGCATTGCCCTAGTGGGAACTCTCTGCAGTGGTTCTGCTCCTGCAGCAGGTTTTTACCTGGGCCTCCAGCATGTCTGATACATCTTTTGAAATCTAGGTGGAAGTTGCCACAGCCCCACAACCTGTGCATTCTATGTGCCTGCAGAATTAGCACCACATAGATACTGCCACATTCACCAGCTTTACCAGTTGTGCCCTCCAGGGTGGTGGCACAGGCTGAATATGGGCCTACTTGAGCCATGGCTGGGGAGTCTGAGGGGTATTGGCTAGGGAAGCTGAGGGTTAATCACTAGGGAGGCTGAGGGGCATTGCATAGGAATGCAAGGAGCAGAAACTTGAGGCAGTGCAGGGCAGCAAAGGCTGACTTCCTGCAGGCACTATGGCAGTTCCTTTGGGGCTGCTTTGAAGATCTTTGAAATGCCTTCGGGGTCATTCTCCCATTGATGAATAGCACCTGGCTTCCTTCTATACATGCTAATCCTTTCATCAAATGGTTACTTGGCTGAACCCCTGCATGCTTCTTTGTTCCTTATTTGTCCAGGCTGTGAATACTTCAAATCCTTAAGTTCTATTTTCCTTTTAATTATAAATTCCATTTTTAAATCATTTATTTCTTCTCTCACTTTACTGTATGCAGTTTAAAGAAGTCACATAGATCCTTCAATATTTTGCTTAGAAATTTCTTCTGCCAGATACCCTAATCCATTGCTCTTAAATTCTCCCTTCCATAAAGCCCCTGGGGGCATGGACACAATTCAGCCACGTTCTTTGCTGATTTATAACAAGGATGGCCTTTACTCCAGTTTCCAATACCTCATTCGTCATTTCCATATGAGACCTCATTAGACTTGCTTTTACCATCCATATTTCTACCAACATTCTGAAAATGACCACTTAAGTAACCTCTAAGAAGTTTCAGACTTTCCCTCCCACTATTCTCTACTTCTGAGCTCTCATCAGAATTTCCCTCAACTCCCTACTCATGGAAGTCTAGGCTTTTTCCAGCATTCACTTCAAAACTGTTCCAGCCTCTACCCATTATCCAGTTCCAAAGCTGCTTCTGCATTTTCATTTATTTGTGATAGCAGCAGCCTCACTTCTTGGTACCTACTTTCTGTCTTAGTCCACTTTGTGCTGCAATAACAGAATACCTGAGACTAGGTAATTTATAAAGAGTAGAAATGTATTTCTCACAGTTCTGGAGGTTGGGAAGTCCAAGATCAAAGGGTCAGCATCTGGCCAGGGCCTTTTTGCTGCATTATGCTGTAAACTAAAAATAAAAACCTAAGCCCCCCACCAACTGAACAGACCTCCTTGTGGTTAAGGGGACCCCAGAAAAACCTTAAAAACTGAATTCTTGGCCATGATGGGAAGAAAGGTTAGAAACGCTTCATTATACCTCCTCCCTTTAGGAGTTTAAGCACAACAAATGACCAGCATTAATGTTAAAATAGAACTCACAAGACTGACAAAACAGACGGTGGCAATAAGACACCAAACTATAAACAAGACCTGAGGCCATACAAGGCAAGGGTTAACTCACGCCTGCGGGCCATCAGTTTTGCCCCATAGCATCCTTACCTTAACTTAAAATGTTCCTTTCTGCTGACTCTCACATTTAAGACAGAGCTTTATTCCTTTAACCAACTGCAAATTGAAGAATCTCTGAACCTACCTATGACCTGTAAGCCCCTGCTTCAAGAGATACCATCTTTGGGGGCCAAAGCAACCTATAACCTCCATATATTGGTTTATGACTTTGCCTGTAACTTCTATTTCCCTAAAATGTATATTTAAAAAAACAGAGTTGTGACCTAACTGCCTGAGAACCACTTATTCAAGCCTTCTTGGGTTTGTGTTTTTCCCTGGGCCAACATCACACTCATATTGGCTCAGAATAAACCTCTTTGAAATATTTTACAGAGTTTGGATTTTCCTGGACAATCTCATGGCAGAAGACGAAAGAGCAAGAGAAGAGAGAGAGCAGTAGGGGGTCAACTTCATCCTTTTATAAGGAACCTACTCCCTCAGTAACAAATGTATTCCTGCAATAACGGCATTAATTCATTCATGAAGATAGAGCCAGTAATCACCTCTTAAAGGTCCCACCTCTTAACACTGTTGCATTGGGGATTAAGTTTCCAACACCTGCTTTTTGGAGGACACATTCAAACTGTAGCGCAACCTGTAAAGTGAGAGAGAGACAGTGATAGAGAACTGCTTCGTCAAGGATTATCTTTCTAAAGAGTTAATATTTAAGCTGAGATATGCTGGAAGGGAAACTTCCAGGCATGGAAAAAGTAGAAAAAGGACTGCTCCAGGTAGAAGTGTGTTTTCTCATAAGAGAAGGAGCTTGGCATTCCATAGGAACCAAAAGGAGGCTACTACGGGGCAGATGGGTGAGTTGGAGAGTGGAATAAAATGAGATCACACTGTATGGCTACTGTATGGAAAGTGGAGAGAATAGGACTGAACTTATGAGGCTGCTGTTGTTATTTAGGTAAGAGATGATGGTGGCCTGGTCAGGATACTATAAATAGAAATGATAGGTATGACTGGATAGGAATGGCGAGAAAGGTGAAGAGAGGGAAAGATGAAGGGAGGGTGAGAGGGAAATAACTTCTACTTGGATGACTTCCATGTGTTTGGATTAACAACGTGGTGAGCAGTGCACTTCAACTTGACCCATCTTTCTTTCAGAGAACAGCTTTCCAGTTGCCTTGAGAATAAGTCTGCAGAACCTAATTCCTACTTCTTTTCATCTTGCCAGCCATGGACGAAATCCTTCATTAATTAGGAAATCAGACAAAAAACAAACTAAAATGTTCCCAGAAAGAGGTGTCAGGAAGTAGAATATGTATGGAATTAAGAAAAGGTCTTCGCCGGGCGCGGTGGCTCACGCCTGTAATCCCAGCACTTTGGGAGGCCGAGGCGGGCGGATCACGAGGTCAGGAGATCGAGACCATCCTGGCTAACACGGTGAAACCCCGTCTCTACTAAAAATACAAAAAATTAGCCGGGCGAGGTGGCGGGCGCCTGTAGTCCCAGCTTCTCGGGAGGCTGAGGCAGGAGAATGGCGTGAACCCCAGGGGGCGGAGCCTGCAGTGAGCCGAGATTGCGCCACTGCACTCCAGCCTGGGCGACAGCGAGACTCCGTCTCAAAAAAAAAAAAAAAAAAAAAAAAAAAAAAAAAAAAAAAAAAGAAAAGGTCTTTATTGATCATCTGTTCCAGCCATGTTAATAGATAAGAAAAATGTGACTCAGATTAAGGAGCCATGACCAAAAATAAACAGCCAGTCAATGGCAGAACCAAGGCTAGAATCCATTCTTCTGATTGAACAAATATGAATGAAGCAGCATAATAAATGGGTAAAATAATTACATGTACATAATAGCTATATATTTGTATTTTTATGTCCTCTCTCCTCCAATCATTGGGGAAAGAGTTGTGGCATTTGAATGCAAATTGAAGGGTACAATTTAGCACTGATTTTTGAAGACAGCTTGCTACACATGCTATGGGACACTAAACTGTAAAACACTAAATGTTACTTAAGGAAAGGAAGGAAGGAATTTTTAACTTCAAATTATGTTGTTGAAAACAAACAAATTTGGACCCTATATGAACCTTAATTCAGAACTCAAAAAATACCACTATTTTAGTTCACCCTGGTTTCTCCTTTGCTTTTCTAGGCTATAAATGATAATGAAATCTATGTGAAAACTTTAATATTTCAATGTCTTAAGTCTAAGGAGGTAATTTTTCAACTTTCTGTGTTTTCTTACTGGCCCAATTCTAGTTCTTTTTCAATGTGAAAAGAGGAACAGATTGTGGATTCAGAAGGAGGCAACAGATGCAAAGAGAAGAAACAAAACACAAAATTATCATGATTTTAGCTCTAGTATTCCCTTCCCAAATGACATTTCAACACGAGAGGCTTCTCACTACCCAATTTACTGACATTTACTTCTAACTCTGCTTTACAAACCCATTCTGATACAAATTCAGAGAGAAATGAATGTAAAACATTTATTTCAGATTGTGCCTCATCTCACAGTAACATGTTTGACTAAATTCCAGTTCTCAGGAAGAGATAACTGAGTAAAGTTTTTCATGTAGACTTCTATCTCCAGGCTTTAAAAAATATGCTTATGTCAACCGATCCAATTTTACATGAGAAACAAATAGTTTTCATACACATTTGCACTCACCAACAGAGAAACAATCTTGCCTAAAGCTACTCACTTTTCCTAAAATTATGGGTAGCCTGTGCAAGTTGGAAATGTCTATTTGAAAGCTTTAAAGCCAGAATTAATTTTGTTTTAAAATATTCACCAGATTTCTTCCCTCTTAATAGGAAAGTTAGTTCTTAGGGCCTGAATACATTGCAAATGTGAAGTTTGGAAAGATCAATTGCTTCTCTTGCTCTATTTCATGCTCTCAGACTCAAAATGGCTGGCTAGATTTAGATAACACTTTTCCCCAAACACTCACTGCACCCCTCGTTGTAAAGCACAGTGTGACTGCTTACAGAAAGTTGTGAGTCATGGAAAAGCGGAGGTGATAAAGCCTTTCTGCTCTAAACTAAATAAGAGCATTTACTGCCAACCTCAAGAGATAAAAGTCAAATCAGTCTTCCCGCAAGCCAGTGAATTAGTTCTATAACCTCCCACAAGATTCTTCTCACATAATTTGCAAAAAGAATTAGTACAGCCTTCACCAAAGCAGTTGAAAAAGCATCCCACTTTGTTTCTGTGATTCGCTGATAAATTTATGAGAAAGAGTTGATAATTTTCTTGTCAACAGAAAGATCCAACTTAACTCTCTATTCAGTTTTGTAACTAAGTGACACCTTGCAGTTTAGATAATAAACCTTAATCAAGTAATGAAACAAGGCAACCCTGGGCATTTTATTATGTCAAAAACAAAGGGATCTGTCACAAATTCAACCTCACCACATCCCCAAACTATCTCAGGACCTATGTGTGAGGACTCAGTCTACAGCCAAGGGATTCATGGGCCTCCAATGCCTTCAGGCTGGGCAGAAAAGGGAAAGGAAAAAGATCCAAGCCTACTATTTTATCCATGCCTTTCTTTAGCCTGGTCGATTTTTCTCTAAAAAAGAAAGCAAAGGAGTTTTAAAAATATTTTCAACATAGCAGTCTACTATTCACAGAGACCCATAAGAAGTCCAAGATCATGTTCAAAATAAAGAAATACTGTAAAGCACTTTGGGATGCCAAGGCAGGAGGATCGCTTGAGGCCAAGAGTTCAAGACCTGAGGGCAACATAGTAAGACCCTGCCTACCAAAAATTTTTAAAAATTAACCAGGCATGGTGATGTGAGCCTATAGTCCCAGCTACTAGGGAGGCTAAAGTGAGAGGATTGCTTGAGCCCAGGAGTTGCAGTGAGATATAAGCTGCAGTGAGCTATAAGGCTGCAGTGAGCTATGATAGCACCATAGCACTCCAACCTGGGTGACGGAGTGAGAACCTGTCCCAGAATGAATGAATAAATGAATGAACTAATTAAAGAAATAAATACGCCCACTAGCGACAACTAGGTGAATGCCCCTTCCACAGAGGTATGCATTTATTGCCGCATTTACCACTTAAGGGCCCACCACCCACTCCATTTTCCCTCCCCCTAGCACTCCCTTCCACCCCACCCACGACTTTCATAGCCCCACCATGACTCCAGACAGGAACTGGTGGGTGCCTACTGATCTCACTTGCTAAGAAGCCTCTAGTTGAAAATGATCTGGCATGCAGCCAATCACAGACCACTCTGGAGAAGGGTTGTTTCCTGGCCCTGCTTTCCACTCCCCCACCCCACACATAGCTTCCCAGAACCGCAGCAGATGCGTCAGTATGCTCCCAACTTCCACAGAGCTAATTAGCTCACATGTGGACTTCTCCATCAGTTACACTTATCACCTACCAGGTGGGCTGCCAGGCAGCTGCATAAATGGAAAAGGAAGAGGAAAGGTGGGTGGGGCTTCCCAGGAGAGATGGGGAGGAGCGTGTTTCATCTGAAATAGGATGCATGACATTGACAAGTCACAATTCAGAAAACTCAGGCCTCTTTGGTGTTCACACCAAGAGACATCCAATCCTTAGGAAAGCCTTTAGACCACGACAAAATATTAGGGATAGATGGGTTGGTGGAAAAGAAGGGCCTAGACATTCCAGTGACTAAGGCTGTGGCATCCTCTTAGGCTCTAAAGAAGATTTTATTATCCATATTTTATTAAGATTTCTGCCCAACACTGCAACACCTGTTGTGTGTCTTCAAAGAATCCTTAGGCAAATGGTCACTGTCTAAAATATCACAGCATGCCCATCAACGATGGACTGGATAAAGAAAATGTGGTACAGCCAGCACGGTGGCTCATGCCTGTAATCCCAGCACTTTAGTAGAAGGCCGATGCAGGTGGATCGCTTGAGCTCAGGAGTTCAAGACTGACCTGGGCAACAAGGAGAAACCCCATCTGTACAAAAATACCAAAAAAAAAAAAAAAAATTAGCTGGGCATGGTGGCATGCGCCTGCAGAGATGGGAGGATCACCTGAGCCCCAGAGGTCAAGGCTGCAGTAATGCATAATTGCGCCACTGCACTCCAGCCTGGGCAATAGAGGGAGATCCTGAAGAAAAAAAAAAAAGAAAGAAAAGAAAAGAAAAGAAAAGAAAAGGGAAGGGAAGGGGAAGGGGAATGGGAAGGGGAAGGGGGAGGGAAGGGAAGGAAAGTGGGGGGGAAGGAAGGGAGAAAGGAAGAAAGGAAGGAAGAAGGAAGGAAGGAAAGGAAGAGAGAGAGAAAGAGAAAGAAAGGAAAAGAAAAAGAAAAGAAAGAAGAAGAAGGAAGGAAGGGAGGGAGAGATGGAAGGAAGGAAAGAGGAAGAAAGAAAGAAAAAGAAAAAGAAAGAAAGAAAGAAAGAAAGAAAGAAAGAAAGAAAGAAAGAAAGAAAAAGAAAAGAAGAAAATGTGGTACCTATACCCCCATGGAATACTATGCAGTCTTAAAAAGAATGAGATCATTTCTTTTGCAGCAACATGGATGCAGCTGAAGGCCATTATCCTAAGCAAATTAACACAATAACAGAAAAGCAAATAACACATGTTCTAACTTACAGGTGGGAGCTAAACATTAAATACACATGGACGTAAAGATGGGAATAACAGACACTGGGTACTACTTGAGGTGGGAGGGTGGGAGGAGGACGTGTGCTGAAAAACTACGTATCAGATACTATACTCACTACCTGGGTGATGGGATCCTTTGTACACCAAACCAAAGCAACATGCAATTTACCCATGTAACAAACCTGTACATGTGACCCCTGAACCTAAATTAAAAGTCAAAAAAATTTTTAATTCAAAAATTAGTGGATTTAGTAATTAATTAAAACCAGGAAAAATTAAAATAAAATATATTACAGCATATTGCAGATGTCATTGGCAACTATGGCACCCTGAGATTTTGAGCACACACTCTCACATATATGCCTTGTATAAGAATCTCATTCAGTTTTGAAATGCTACCTGAGGCCTAGATGTGGATTGCCTCTTCCAACTAGAAAAAGCAATAGAATTAGTAAGTGCGTGTGTGTGTCTGTGTGTGAAGGGAGGGGGTGGGAGTGTAGAGGACTGTTAAATACTAGGGTTGGAAAACAAAAATGCTAGGGAAAACCAGTGGATCAAGTAACATGGCCTTCCAGGCCAGTTTAAGGAATATCTTAGGTCCTAATGGCACTTTCCAGTTTGTAAGCATATCTTTTTAGTTTACAAGAAGCCTCATTCAGCCTAAAACTACCAAGATGTGCCATGATTTACTACAAGTTGAAAACAGAATCCTATATCCAAATATCATGTTTCTTCAAGCAGTTTGTACTAACTGTGAGTAAATATATTATCCCTGGCATTCACAAATGTTGGAGAGAACTGGGAGAAATCTTAAAAACCTAAAGATTCCTAAAGCCTCTAAGCCAAAGTAAACAGGCCAAGTGTGCTAATCATACAACAAACGTAGAAGGCTGAGACCTTCGCTCAGAGCTTTACGAAGGTACACTAAATCTCACTTTGATTCAAGCAGGATTTTCAAGATACGAATTTCACTAAGGCACAAACTGAATAGAATCACGTCGGTATAATCCTCACATATTTCTGCCAGCTGGGATCCTGGATGTTGAGATGTGACTGCCTCTCCAAGGGCCTGAAACCACCAGTCTGTTTTACATGGGTCGCCACACAGCCATCAGATGGAAACACTCTGTGGTCACTACGCTAACAGATCCAAATCACCTACGTCAAAAGAAAAGGCTACAGCTCCCATTTCCAATCTCCCAAGCCACCCCAGTCCCTCTGCAATGGATAGAGAGACTAAATGAATTGTTTACTTAATTGTGCTGTGCAAGCTGGATAATTGCATGCTTTCCAGGAAGGCTTTGTAACCAATGAGATGGCACTGAATCTGCCAAAACCTGTACCTTGAAGCCAACATCCTTTCTTTCTATAGACCCTCTCCTATCAGAAATAAAGGCAACCCTGGTATTATTTCTAGAGGAGGCAAAACCATGGTAAAAACATCAAAGATCATGTCTTTCAAAATGGAAAAATCTCCATTAAGCTGAACCCACTGAGAACCGCTATCTCCATATTTGCCAGTGTGGAACCTTTAGAGTCACAAACCTTGATTTAACTAACTCATTACACACTGAAACAGCCAACAAATGGCAAAATAATCTACCTTAGCAGGAGAACAATTGGTCCATTACATAGAAAGACCACATTTTAAGAGGAGAAGGGAGATACAATTAAAAAAAGGGGGTTGGGAAGTATTTTTAAATTATCCAATAGTGTGCAAGAAGACTACAAAGATGGAAAATGGGATTTTATTTATTTGTCAGTCTTCAACAGGACTAAAAAATCGATTAATGCCAAAGTAGAAAATACTGAAATGATGTATTGAGGGAAAAAAGAAAACCCTTAAGGGTAGCAACAACCAAATGTTTAGGCAAAGAAAACCCCATATGCTATGATTTGAATGTGCCCCCCAAAGTTCATGTGTCAGAAACAATTCCCAATGCAACAGTGTTGAGAGGTGGGAATTTAAGAGGTGATTGGGTCATGAGGGCTTTGCCCTCATGAGTGTATTAATTTGTTAGCAAGGAAAGGAGTGAAAGGAGTGGTTTGGCCCCCTTCCTTCCCCCTCCCTACTCCCACACTCTCTTGTCCTTCCGCCTTCCACATTGGAATAATGCAGCAAGAAGGTCCTCTTCAGATGCTGGCCCCCGGACCTTAGACCCCTCACCTTCAGAACTGTGAGAAATAAACTTCTGTTCTTTATCAATTACCCAGTCTGTGGTATTCTGTTATAGCAGCACAAAACAAACTGAGACACCATATTACTTAATAATTAGTCAAGAGAACAAAGCTAAATGAGATGCTTTTAAAACTCCTTCCCCAAAGCCATTTATAAAACGTGTTTGAAATGTTAACAAACACAATGGAAGTTCTCAAATCCAAATACTTGCTTTTGGTAAAGTAACTATTTGCAGCACTTCATACTTACTTCGTTGATTTCCTTCTGAGCAGGCAATACATTTCGAGACATGTTCACAACTGAAAAGTACCTCTCCTATCCAGATCTCCAGCCACCCGTTCTCCTTCCCAGAGGCAACCACTGTTACTGATTTCTTATTATTCTTCCAGATCTTAGATCCAAATACTCTTTAAACTCAATTTTGCAATATTTTTCCATCTATATGTTCTTTCCCATTACCCTCTTGTTTTTATTTCTTATAATGGTTTTCATTAATAGCAATCAGAGTGTTTTTTCCTAGATAGGTCTATGTTCATACAGAGTTTCAGCTTCTCCAACTGGCTATTTCTTCTCAGATGCCATAATCTCCCATGATACAGTCTAATCGACATGCCTCACTAACAGGATTAAGAGTTTAAAGGAACAGTACTCCTCAGGAACTGCCAAGAGTGTGAAGATGCTTTTTTTTTTTTTTTTTTTTTTGAGACAGAGTCTCGCATTGTCACCCCAGCTGGAGTGTAGTGGCACGATCTTGACTCACTGCAACTTCCACCTCCCAGGTTCAAGTGATTCTCCTGCCTCAGCTTCCTGAGTAGTTGGGATTACAGGTGCCTGTCACCACGCCCAACTAATTTTTTTGTATTTTTAGTAGAGATGGGGTTTCACTATGTTGGTCAGGCTGGTCTCAAACAGCTGACCTTGTGATCCACCCACCTTGGCCTCCCAAAGTGCTGGGATTACAGGCATGACCAACTGCGCCTAGCCGAAAATGCTATTTTTATGCAAATATCCTTCAAAAATCTAGGAGGTTCAAAAAAATGGAAAATACAGTGTAGCTGCTACCAAGATGAAGTTTTAAGAATGTTTCAATCTTGACAGGACAATGTTACCCTGACTCAAGCGCCAGTTGGCTTGGCTGTTGGATGTCAGTCAACCTTTTCTGATTTTTCAGGGTTAGATTGTCCCAGAGCAATATTTGTCTGAAACACACCCTTGAATGAGTTTGGGAATGGGAAAGAAATGATGGGTAGTGGGAGGGTCAGGAGGGAGGATAGGAGAGCACCACACATAGTCAGGGGAGGCTTTCAAAAGAGTCTTGACTCTAAGAATACCCAAAAAGAAAGGTAATGCAAATTTCAAACATACCACATGCATTTTCTTTTCCTTCCCAAATCCCACTAAGGCTATTTTTTTAAATCCAGGTTCTAGTCCTGGTTTTGTCATGACCTTAATTTACCCTTCACCTAATCACCTTTGACTCAGTTTCTTCATCTATAAACTGAGGGGCTTGGCCTCACTGAGTTCTAATGTCCTTTATACATTTAATCTTCTATGAGTCTAAGATGCAATTTCTCTCCATATGTTGAATTATAAGCCTACTATGTGGGTATAAAATTCCTTCAATTTCCCACAACTTATTTGCCATGAAATAACAAACTGTGTAGACTTTTAAATGTTTTCAAGGGCCAGGCGCGGTGGCTCACGCCTGTAATCCCAGCACTTTGGGAGGCCGAGGCGGGCAGATCACGAGGTCAGGAATTTGAGACCATCCTGGTTAACATGGTGAAACCCGGTCTCTACTAAAAATACAAAAATTAGCCAGGCGTGGTGGCGCACACCTGTAATCCCAGCCATTTAAGAGGCTGAGTCAGGAGAATCGCTTGAACCTGGGAAGCAGAGGTTGCAGTGAGCCGAGATCATGCCACTGCACTCCAGCCTGGGTGATGGAGTGAGACCCTGTCTCAGAAAAAAAAAAAAAAAAATGTTTTTAAACCTTCATCAGAGAAGTTACTCTAATGGACAGTTGTCATTCTGAAGATGTCCAGCATCCACTCCTCCTCTTTTACAACACCTGATTTCTTTTAGAAGTATCTGCATTCAATTTGGGGGGATAAATCTAAGTGTTTGCCTCCCCAAACTACAAAGTTTAAGAAGAACCAGAAAGTTTCTTCTTCCAGGCTTTCCCTTCATAAATCAATACATCCATAGGATGGACATGTGACCTACCAACTTTTCTCCCCCAGGACTTCTCTAGCAGAACAACACAGGAGCAAAACAAACAGCTAGCATTCATTCTCTCTAGAAGCAGTAATTTCTTCTACAAAGTTTTCTGTTCTTCAGCTTTCCCTTCAATCCTGCAAACAACCCCATATTCGTCCAGTAAATTCCCTTTTTTACTTTAGTGGTTTGCCACATAACAATCCATTCCAAAACTTAACAGCTTAAGATAATAATCATTTATATACTCACCATTCTATGAATTGGCAATTAGGATAGGGCTCAGATGGGATGGTGTAGCTCCGCTCCATGTGGTGTCAGCTGGATTCACTTAAGCATCTGCAATCAGTGGGCAGATCAGCTGGGGGCTGACTGATCCCAAATGGCCTCACTCGCTCACTTTGTAGAAACCAAATGAAGTGCCGGCTGGAGCACCTTAGTTCTCCCTGTGTCCTCTCATTCTCAAGTAAATTAAACAAGGCTTCATTGCATGATGGAGAAATGTTCTGAGAGGATGAAAGGAAAAACTGCAACTTCCCTTTTCCTACATTCTATTCGTCAAATATAATTTTTAAATCAGCCTAGATTCAAGGGATAGGAGAATAGATTCCATCTTAATTAGAGAAGTGACCAAGAAACCTTTCCAAGAAAAGTGGATACAAGAAAAAATGAATCACTGGGGTCTCTTACTGTAAGCAATCTACCATGTTGGGCTTGGTGTTTGTTGCTTGTGACATAAGGACACTAACTGATCCACAATCAGTGTAATGTGACACAAAACACATTAGATTGTTGAGGCCTTAACATCTGGGACATTTTCCCTGTTTATACCTCACATCTCAATGGGATTAATCGGAAAGAATGTGGGTGTTGTGGTAGTGAGGGTATAAGAAGCACAAAATTTAAAGTGAAACTGCCTTGGTTCCAGACCTGCAGGTTACTTAGCTGTGCAATTTTGAACTTAATTAATCTCTGTGATTTTCATTCAAAATAAAAAGGGGAGTGACAATATCTGCCCTGAGTTGCAGAATTGTTGTGAATATTAAACAGTGTAACTCCATGAACTTCAGGCCATCCTCACTTTGCACTGTAGTGCAGGATCATAAAAATGGCCATGCAAGTTGAAACTGTGCCAAACTTTTTAATAATGAACAGGAAAAATTATCATATTTCCTTGACCTTTAAAAATATTGTCAAAACATTAAAAAACTCTCTCCCTATTGGTTATAAATATGAAGAAAAATGGAAGAAATAGTAAAATGAATGTTTGTTTTCTATGTTGATCTAAAGTGTTAGTAACATTGAGAATAAAATGCTTGATTTATTTGTAAAGAGCTTAACAATATTCATTTGAACAATGCTTGCTTTTTTATCATCATATAATTTACAATATGGAGTGAGCATCTTTCCTATGCCTTGGCAAATTGTCATACTCCTTTCAAAGTTTGGGTCAGCTTCCAACATTTTATCCCTTACGCTTTCAATGCCACAAAATATCTCCAAGGGTTCCTTTAATGTGAAGATTTTTTCCAGAATCATTTCCTCTGGGATATGTTGATCCCTTCATTACAACCACCTTCCTCATTTATGTCAGTAACTTTGCCTTGAACAGATTCTTCTGATTGCGTGTCTTTCAAAAGGCAGTAGTGTCAACATTCCCATGATCAGCTGTTTCTTCTGTAACTACATTTATGTTTGATTCAAACTTCATTTCCAGTGTTATCATTTTTTCTTTTTTCTTTTTTTTTTTTTTTTTTTGAGACGGAGTCTTGCTCTGTCGCCAGGCTGGAGTGCAGTGGCGCAATCTCAGCTCACCACAACCTCCGCCTCCCAGGTTCAAGCAATTCCCCTGCCTCAGCCTCCCAAGTAGCTGGGATTACAGGCACATGCCACCACGCCTGGCTAATTTTTTTGTATTTTAGTAGAGACGGGTTTTCACCACATTGATCAAGAGATCAAGATGGTCTTGATCTCCTGATCTCGTGATCCACCCACCTCAGCCTCCGAAAGTGCTGGTATTACAGGCATGAGCCACCACGCCCGGCCCTATTTTTTCGTTTCTTTTTTGCATCTTCTTTTTTTCTTTTGGCCAATTCCCTCTTTCAATTTTCCACATTTGTACAATGTTGCTCAGGTTTACCACTAAGAAACAAGATAATAAACTCCACACTTTGTTGTCTGTTTGTGAACTAAATAACAGATGCACAGTGACCAATCACTGAAAGACTTCGAAAGAAGTGACGGATTAGTCACCAATCATGATGCACATCTGTTACTTATATAGTGACTTGGTGGAACTAAAGAGCTAGCAGCAAAGTCTGTACTTCATGCAATTGCTCACAGCTAATATATGTGGTAACTAAAATTTGAATCATATTGTTGAGGGACTGGTGTTATTTAATTAAACTGTAGTAAGTGAAATTTGTGCATATCAGAACTATGCAAAACAAGGACTGCCTGTATTAAACATTATATAAGGTTTAACTATTGCCAGTTGTTATTAAGGAAGGAAAGACTAGACCTCATACTTGGTGCATGAAAGAAGGGGTTAGATTTAATTCAAACTTGCACTCAGCTCTAACAATTTTCATCTTTGTCCCTGTATTAATGCTAACTAGGCAGCAATGAAAGGAGAAGGAAGGACTGAAAACACAGCTATATTTTAACCTTTCGCATAGGGCTAGAAGGAAATTCCTGGAGAGGAAAACAGGGCATAACCAAACCTAAAGTTCGTCTAAAAGTGGGGAGATTTGTCCAAATTAAGTAGATCTTTTATCACTCTTTATTTCCAAGGCAAGAAGGAAAATCCTTCAATATTGTTTTCCATGAATGTGGCTGGTGGTCTCTAAAGATCCATTTTCACTTCTTTTGTAGTTGTAGAACCCCAAATTTTGGCTGGTTGTGCAGCTGCCCAGAACAAAAGGCCATATTTCCCAGCCTTCCTTGTAGCTAGCTGTGTCCATGATTAAATACTGCCCCATGAGATATAAATGAAAAGACTGTGGGGACTTGAAGACAGCACCTTAAAAGGAGCTGACAGTTTGGAGAAGCAACCTTTTTCCCTACTACTGTCTGGAATGTGGACAAAATATTAGAAAGAGCCCTCTTAGACCATGAAGCCATGGAAGCCAAGTAATGGGATAGTAGAAGACAAATACAGAAGGAGGCTTAGTCCTTCATGGATGTATGGAAACGTCATACCAGCTCTGGCTGCCTCTTTCCACACTTCTTCTATAATGTGTATTTAAGCCACTCTTTTTTTTTTTTTTTTTTTTTTTTTTTTGAGACAGAGTCTTGCTCTGTCGCCAGTGGCTGGAGTGGTGCAGTGGTGCGATCTCAACTCACTGCAGATCTCGGCTCACTGCAACCTCTGCCTCCCAGGTTCAAGCGATTCTCCTGCCTCAGCCTCCCGAGTAGCTGGGACTACAGGCATGTGCCACCACGCCCAGCTAATTTTTGTATTTTTAGTAGAGATGGGGTTTCACCATGTTGGCCAGGATGGTCTCGATTAGGCCACTCTTTTAGGTCTTTCTTACCCACATGTGGATACAGTTCCTAATAGATAAAATGAATACACTTATCTGTTCAGTGGCCTATTTTAGTGGCCCAAGTAGCAGATTGACTCTTTCACCACTGTCTTACATCCTTCTAGGCAGTAAAAGTACCAATAAAGCAGAAACACATGGGAAAAAAAAAGCCCTTCCCACAGTGTTGGATATTTAGAGGAACAAAGCTTATGGTTGTTTGCAAAGTCCTAATACAGATTCAAATAGTCAAAACTCAAACACAGACCTGGCTTAAGAGTTGTTTGGTTGGAAGGGAGATGAGAGGATGTAAAGAGGGTACTAGTTCACAGCAAACTCATTATAAAACAGAAGCCCTAAAATGTAATTCAGTATAAGGCTGTACTCACGTAAGTGTCTAGAGCAAAACAAAGGAAGTGTTAGCTCAGTTCTGGTCCCAGGTTAAAAGGCACATTTAACAAAAAGAAAGAAATTGAGGTGAGGGCAAGCAAGCTGGTGTAGATATCCCCATTCTGTGAAGGATGGGAGAAGGAACTTGGGTTCTGTAGCTGAGAGCAAAGAAGACACAGTAGAAATGTGACTGGCATTTCACTTATCTGATGTGCCATCACTTTATTTTGCATGGTTCCAAGCAGAATTAGGACCTATGACTGAAGTAAAATAAAATAGATTTTAACTCAATAAAAGAGAAAACCTTCTTGAGAATCAGAACTTTCCAGAATTGGAATGCACTAGTTTGTAAGGGAGTGAGTTACTTGACATGGTGGTGAATTTTTTTAAGAAAAGACCATAATGATATTCAGGGCCTATTCTGAAACTAAGAATAAAAAATAAAAGCATTGTTGTATCTTGAAATCCTTGGAAAATTAAAGTGATTTTGATTCTAGGCTGCCTATAAGTGAAGGAGATTAAGGGGAATTCTGCATTAAAAGGGAGACTGGACTAGGTAACATTTCCAGTTTGTGTGTGTGTGTGTGTGTGTGAGATGGAGTCTCATTCTGCTGCCCAGGCTGGAGTGCAGTGGAGCGATCTCAGCTCACTGCAACCTCTGCCTCCTGGGTTCAAGCAATTCTCCTGCCTCAGCCTCTGGAGTAGCTAGAATTACAGGCATGTGCCACCATGCCTGGCTAATTTTTGTATTTTTAGTAGAGATGAGGTTTCATCACATTGGTCAGGCTGGTCTCAAACTCCTGACCTCAGGTGATCCACCCACCTTGGCCTCCCAAAGTGCCTGGATTACAGACTTGAGCTACTGCGCCCCACCGCCCTTCCAGTCCTAACATTGTATTAATACTGTATTTTCCCGTTACATGTGAAACTATTTTTAAGTGGTTAATACACAATAACCCAGGAATCGAATAAATGCTCTCTGAGAAAAATGATGATGCTTGTATTGACCAGAACTCTTTCAATTGCAAGAGAAAGAAACTCAACTAGAGAGTTTGATGGGGAAAAATAAGAAACACGATGGCAGGAATAAATCTTACTTCCAGCATGGATGCTCAAACAATATGGTCAGAAATCTTTCTGTATCTCTTGGGTCAATTTTTCCTGAGCTGGCTTCAGTCTCAGGCAGACTCTCACCATGTGGAAGCCAAGCTCACCTCTGTCAGTTTCATACTTTCTTCTCTAGCCCAGCAATGTCAATGGGCAGAGAACTCCATTTTTCTCAAAAGTTTCTTAATCGACTTAGACTAACCTAGCTTCAGACACAAACCCATAATTAACTCAATTACTATAGACTTTGTATGACTAGGCTTGGATCACACAAACTGAGAATAGGGCAAGGATCATTTCTACATGAAAAGAGGGCTTCTGTTATCTGAAATACAGGATGTTTGGAAGAGAAAAATAATACATGTCTACTAGGATAACAATGAATGGAAGGTTTTTAAATGGCAACTTTATTACAATTCTGGGCCTATCCTAAATCTCAAAATAGGAAATGAAAACAACATGTATCATAAAATCTATGAGAAAATAAACTGAATTTGATTCTAGGCCTTAATCTAAAATTCTAATGCTCAGGCAAATAACAATTTTAACATGTCTGTCTTTTCACCAATTCCTTTTTTTCTCTTAAGATGTCTCTGTTCACAGACAAACTCATCAGACAAAATAATAGCAAACAAAGGGAAAAGCATAAAAAGGTTATTGAAGTGGATGAAGGCACGGCATGTAAAGAAAAATTCTTCATTAATAGCTGAAAAAATCTTTCTCTATATTTAATATTTAGGTGACAGATTTCTGTTTCAAGAGAAGTAAACATTACAGTCATGAATAGCAAACAGAAACACAAACTCCATTTATTTGTAAAATAAACTCATTTTCTTTTCAAATCAATGCAAAAAATGACCCAATGCCATATGTTCCATTTGCCATGATTCTAAGACAGCAAAGCTATACAATTTCTAGATCATTAGCTTGTCTTCCTATTTTTCCATGTCTTACAGTTCTGCTAGGTAAGCATTCGTTCATTCACTTTGATAATCCTACCTTTTATACGTTGGATTTGCTCAATTACTCCATGCAAAAACTACTGCTGCCAGCGGGTGGGGGTATAGAGGAGAAAAGGGCCCACCCCATAGTTTCTCTAAAAGAGCAAGAACTAAGACTATATTTCCAGTGGCTTCAAACAAAAGGGGGTTTTGTCTTTTGCTAGTCTTGAGTTTGAAAAAGGCATTCATACCCCCTCATTTTACACCATTGGAGCCAGGATGAATGCCACAGTACTCAGGGATAGCACAATGGGGCCAAGCAGCAGCATGTCAGCTCTGTAAGTAGTGGGTGACAAGATGGGTAATGTGTACCTGCAGTCATGTGGGGCTTGTGGAAGGGTCCTTGAGGTGAAGAGGAACAATCAAGGGGTTTCAGGTTATCTGTATAAAACCAGATAAGTAAAGTTCTGCAAATAAATCCCCAAATCTGACCTGAAAAATGTAATCCAGAGTCATTGCAATGATCTACGACAGAAACCCTGAGGATAGAAAGTTGTGTATCATTCCTTGTATCTCCCGTGTTTACTGCATTCCTTAGCTATCCAAAGAGAGATTTTTGCTGGCTTAAGCCATCTGAAATGGTTGCATGAGATTGAGGCCATTATGAAAAAAAAAATGTGCTCAATACCTGAGACAAGCTGTGGAATTCACACTAAATAGCTTCATCTATGTGACTTAGGATATAAAGTCATCAGTAGATGGTTACCCAAGAAATGAAAGTGGAACTAGAACACAAACTAAAGATACATGAACAAACAAACATGTTATCAGGATGTAGGAGGAAACAGTAACAAGGGGTATGAAAGAATGCAGCAACTCATGACAGGTGCAACTTGACACACTTCAATTTTACTACTTCTTTTTTGCAGATAAACTCAGGAATTGACAAATAAACAAATATAATAATAAGCGTGAGAAGATCAAGGTGGTTTATCATGCATGGATAAATAATTTTAATAAGTCCAGCACAGAGGATGTTGTTGAATCCTTTCTATAACTCCAGGAGGTAGTCACTAGTAATATCTCCATTGTATAAGACAGGAAAGTAGATCTCAGAGAATTCTGTGTAACTTATCTAAAGGCACATAGCTAGCAAAGGCAGAGCCAGAATTTTAACTCAATCAGTCAGATTCCCTGTGCTCTGTGCTTTACCATCAATGCTTTTTTCTTAAGCACTTTGCATGTACTTGCACATTTAATTTACTTCTTATAGCAATCCCATAATAGAAATTATTTCCATTTTTCCAATAGAAAACTGAGAAGGTAAATCATTTGTTCTTGACTCTAGTGGCAGAGCCAAGATTGGAATTTATGTCTGTCTGACTCTAGAACCTAGTATCCTAGACAATGTGGCACAGACTTCTACTCACCCACCAAAATCTATTCTCCTCTTCTTCCTGGAAACAAGGCTGCCAAGCTAAAACTACACATCTAAGTCTTCTTTACAGTGAGGTATGTCTATTTAACTAAGTTCTCACTAAAGGAATATAAGTGGAAGTATGTGCAACTTCTGAGTCAAGAGGAAATTATTTGCCCAGACTTCCTCTCTTTCTCTTTCCAACGAACTGGAATTCAGAATGGCAAAGGCGTTTCTTCATTATAGACAACGACTATATCCTAAGGGATGACAGATTTTAAAAAGTAGAAAACGCAGGCGTGGTGGCTCACACCTGTAATCCCAGCACTTTGGGAGGCCAAGGTGGGTGGATCATTTGAGGTCAGGAGTTTGAGACCAGCCTGGCCAGCATGGTGAAAAATCCCATCTCTACTAAAAATACAAAAATGAGCCAGGCGTGGTAGCACACGTCTGTAATCCCAGCTACGCAGGAGGCTGAGGCAAGAGAATTGCTTGAGCCCGGAAGACAGAGGTTGCAGTGAGCCGAAATTGTGCCACTGCACTCCAGCCTGGCCGACAGAGTGAGACTCTGTATCAACAACAACAACAAAAAAAAAGTACAGGAGCCTGAGTTCCTGAATGGCTACATGGAACAGAGCTGCTCCATATACCTAGACCACACACCTTGGAACTTTATATGAGAGAAAAATAAATTTCTACATTATTTAAGCCACTGTACTTTTAGGGTATCTTTGTTACAGCAGCTGAGCCAAATTCTAACACAACCAACAAGTACTATCTCATGAGTGAGGAAGACAGACTACAGACTTAGATAATGTAGAAGGCAGGTGTGAGTTCATAAGGGAACCAGTCACACTAATATTCTAATTACTGTTTCCTTTCTATGAAATCACCATTGTAATACATTATTCATTCTGAAAGATGATAAAGTATTCTATACAAAAGTCACCTACAAAACATCATCTAATTAAAAAAAAACAAACAACAAACAACTATCTGGGATATAACAAATAACAAGTACTGGGAAAAGAGATAGGATTTTCATTTCTTCTTTTTACTTTGCTTTATGACATTTCAACTGACTAGGTATCTATTCAAAATGGAGTATCTCAATTGGTTCTTAGTAGAATGCATTAGAACAACACAGCTAGAATTCATTAGGACATACCAACGCAAAATCCCCTTCAAAACAAGTGTACTGAAGTGAGCCCAAAACATACTATTCTGACATTCCACATCAGTATGTCTGGAAATGACTTCAGTTACCTTCATTTAATCCCTACACTGTAAGTTGTGTCTCTTGGGTGTGTGTTTTTGGGTTATGCAATGCAAATCTCCTTTATCCTCTATTTGACAGATATCAGAAAAGATTGTAGGAACAATTCTTCAGTTATATACTCACTCTTCAGTCTCTGGTTAATGAAAGAATCCCTGGTTCTTCCAATTGAATATGAGAAACTTTTAATTTTTTAATGTAAAAAAAAAATGCACTCCTAAGCCAGGCACAGTGGCTCACACCTGTATTTCCAGAACTTTGGGAGGCCGAGGTGGGAGGATTGCTTGAGCCCAAGAGTTCAAGACTAGGCTGGGCAATATGGTAAAACCCGTCTCTACAAAAAATACAAAAATTAGCTCGGTGTGGTGGTGCACACCTGTAGTTCCAGCTACTAGGGGGGCTGAGGTGGGAGGATCACCTGAGTTCAGGAGGTCAAGGCTGGAGTGAGCCATGATTGTGCCACTGCACTCCAACCTGAGCAATGGGAGTGAGATCCTGTCTCAAAAAAAAAAAAAAAAAAATTCCTCTAAAAAGTAATTTTTCTGTATTTCAATATCCACTAAAGTGATCATAACTTATGACACTCCACATCTGGATACTTATTCTAATGAAATAATAAAAGGTTTTATATTGGCAAAGATGCTCATGGAAGCATATTTTAAAAACAAAAAAGCTGTAAAGAAACAAAATATAAAACAGTAGAGAAAACAATGTTAAATAAATGATGGTTTGCCCCTAAAGAAAATATATGGCTGGTATTTAAAAATAAATGAAAAAATTTCAAAGAGAAAGCACTGAGAATTAAGTTAAATCTTTCCTGATGTCTTTCAAAGAGATGACAAAGGAGATTTGCAGTTCATGACCCAGAACCGCATGTCCAAAAGAGGCAACATACAGCGTAAGGATTAAACGAACAGGTTCTAAAGATATAACAGATATACAGCTGGGACACAGCTAAAGCAGTGTTAAGAGGAAAATTTATAGCACTAAGCACTCACAACTCCAAAGGTAGCAGAAGATAAGAAATAACCAAAATCAGAGCTGAACTGAAATTGAGATGTAAAAAACCATATAAAAGATTAACAAAATCAGAAGTTAGCTTTTTAAAGGAATAAATAAGACTGATAGATTGATAGCTAGACTAACAAAGAAAAAACAGAGAAGACTAAATAAACACAATGAGAAATTACAGGCCAGGCGTGGTGGCTCACGACTGTAATCCCAGGACTTTGAGAGGCCGAGGTGGGCGGATCACTTGAGGTCAGGAGTTCGAGACCAGCTTGGCCAATATGGTGAAACCCTGTCTCTACTAAAAATACAAAAATTAGCCAGGTGTGATGGCTCACGCCTGTAGTCCTAGCTACTGGGGAGTCTGAGGCAGGAGAATTGCTTGAACCCAGGAGGTGGAAGTTGCATTGAGCTAAGATCGTGCCACTGCACTCCAGGCTCCAGCCTGGGTGACAGAGGGAGACTCCATCTCAAAAAGAAATTACAAAGGGGACATTACTCCCACTGACCCCATAGAAATACAAAAAACCCCTCAGAGACTACTATGAACACTTCTATGTACACAAACTAGAAAACCCACAAGAAATGGATAAATTCCTGGAAACATACAAGCTCCCAAGATTGAACCAAGAAGAAAGTGAAGCCCTGAACAGTTCAATAATGACTTCCAAAATTGAATCAGTAATAAAAAGCCTATGAACCAGAAAAAAAAAGGTCAATCAGAAAAAACCCAGGACCAAATGGATTCACAGCTGCATTCTACCAGACATATAAAGAAGAGCTGATATCATTCCTATTGAAACTATTCCAAAAAATTGAGGACGTTGGACTCCTCTCTAACTCATTCTGTGAGGCCAGAATCATTCTGCTACCAAAACCTAGCAGAAACACAATAAAAAAAGAAAACTTCAGGCCAATATCCTTGAAGAACACAGATACAAAAATTCTCAATAAAATACTATCAGACCAAATCCAGCAGCATATCAAAAAGCTAATCAACTACAATCACGCAGGCTTTATCCCTGGAATGTGAGGTTGGTTCAAATATGCAAATCAATAAGTGTGATTCATCACATAAACAGAACTAAACACAAAAACCACATGATCATCTCAATAGATGCAGAAAAGGCTTTTAACAAAATTCAATATCTCTTCATGTTAAAAACCCTCAACAAACTAGGCATTGAAGCAATATACCTCCAAAAAATAAGAGTCATCCATGAAAAATGCATAGCCAACATCATACCGAATGGGCAAAAGCTGGAAGCATTCCCCTTGAGAATCAAAACAGGACAAAGATGTCCAGTATCACCACTCCTACTCAACATAGTATTGGAAGTCCTAGCCAGAGCAATCAATAAAGAGAAAGAAATAAAAGACATCCAAATAGAAAAAGAGGAGTCAAACTGTTTCAGATTATATGATTTTATACCTAAAAAATACCACAGTCTCTGCTCAAAAGTTCCTAGATCTGATAAACAACTTCAGCAAAGTTTCAAGATATAAAATCAGTGTACAAAAATCATCAGCATTTCTACACACCAACAGCATTCAAGCTGAGTGCCAAATCAGGAACGTAATCCCATTCACAATAGCCATAAAAAAAATAAAATACTTAGGAATACAACTAACCAGGGAGGTGAAAGATCTCTACAATCAGAATTACAAAACACTGCTCAAAAAAGTCAGAGATGACACAAATAAAAAAACATTCCATGCTCATGGATAGGAAGAATCAATGTTGTTAGAATGGCTGTACTGCCCAAAGTTTTTATAGATTCAATGCTATTCCTATCAAACTACCAATGACATTCTTCACAGAATTAGAAAAAACTATTCTAAAATTCATATAGAACCAAAAAAGATCCTGAATAGCCAAAGCAATCCTAAGCAAAAAGAACAAAGCTGGAGGCATCACATTACCCAACTTCAAATTACACTACAAGGATACAGTAACCAAAGCAGCATGCTACTGGTACAAAAACAGACACACAGTCCAATGGAACAAAATAGCCCAAAATAAAGCTGCACACGTACAACCATCTGATCTTCAACAAAGCTGACAAAAACAAGCAATGGGGAAAGGACTCCCTATTCAATAAATGGTGCTGGGATAACTGGCTAGCCATATGCAGAAGATTGAAACTAGACCCCTTTCTTATACCATATACAAAAACCAACTCAAGATGGATTAAAGACTTAAATGTAAAACCTAAAACTATAAAAATCCTTGAAGAAAATCTAGGGAATACCACTCTGGACATGGGTCGTGGCAAAGATTTCAGACAAAGACACAAAAAGCAATTGCGACAAAAACAAAAATTGACAAATGGGACCTAATTAAACCAAACAACTTTCGCACAACAAAAGAAACTATCAACAGAGTAAACAGACAACCTACCAAATGAGATAAAGTATTTGTAAATGATGCATCTGACAAAGGTCTAATATCTAGAATCTATAAGGAACTTACACAAATTAACAAGCAGAAAAACAAACAACCCTATTAAAAAGTGTACAAAGAGATGAACAGACACTTTTCAATAGAAGACATACCATGCAGCCAGCAAGCATATGAAAAAATGCTCAACATCACTAATCACTAGAGAAATGTAAATCAAAACCACGAGATACCATCTCACACCAGTGAGAATGACTATTATTGAAAAGTCAAAAAATAACAGATGCTAGAGAGGTTGCAAAGAAAAAGGAGTGCTTATACACTGCCAATGGGAATATAAGTTAGTTCAGCCACTGTGGAAAGCAGTTTGGAGATTTCTCAAAGAACTTAAAAGAGAACGACCATTCAACTCAGCATCCCATTATTGGGTATATACCCAAAGGAAAATAAATCATTCCACCATAAAGACACATGCACGTATATGTTTCTTGCAGAACTATTCACAATAGACAAAGGCACGGAATCAACCTAGATGTCCATCAACAGTAGAATGAATAAAGAAAATGTCATACATATACACAATGGAATACTACACAGCCATAAAAAAGAATGATATAATGTACTTTGCAGCAACATGGATAGAGCTAGAGGCCATTATCCTCAGGGAACTTATGCAGGAACAGAAAGCCAAATACTGCATGTCCTAACTCATAAGTGGAAGCTAAACACTTAATGCATATGGACACAAATAAAGGAACAATAGACCTGTACAGTACTATGCTTATTAGCTGGGTGACAAAATAACTGGTACACCAAACCCTCACAACATGGAATTTACCTATAAAACAAACCTTTACATGTACCCCTTAAACTAAAATAAAAGTAAAAATAAAATAAAATAAATAGGTTTTGCAAGTTAAATGAGACCATGGAGAAGCAAACAGGCAAATATAAATTGGGGACTTCAGTGGGACAACTGACCAAGTTTCCTCGACAAGTTAATGACATTTTTTAAAAAGGTAAGTCTGCTCTAGATTAAAATAAGGTTAAGTGATGTAGCAAACGTTGCAATGTACAGATCATTATTTGCAGCCTGATGTGTATGAATTAAGATTTTTTAAAGACATTTTTGGGATAATCAGAGAAATGTGAATATGACTGGATTACATGTAACATCGAAGAATTACTGCTAGTTTTGTTAGGTATCATAATGGCACATAAAAGTTGTATAAGAAAATATCCATATTTTCTAGAAATGCATAATGAAGTATTTAGTTAGGCATCATAATGGCACATAAACATTATATAAGAAAATATTCATATTTTCTAGAAATGCATAATGAAGTATTTAGGAGTGAAGTGACATAAGGATTGGGATTTGCCTTAAATACTTCAGTCACAATCACAACCATAAAAACAACACACACGTGCACAGAAGAGTGCAGGTTCTGCAATAACTTAACTGAGTGTTCCAATTTGGTCCAACACTTAACTAGCTATATGACCTAAGGTAAATTACTTAACTTCATAATGCCTTAGGTTCCTCTTCTGTTTACTAGGAGTAAGGATGGCATCTACTTTCTTGGGTTATTGTGAGGTTACTGTGAGGATCAAATGAGATGAACTCTGTAAAGTACTCAGCACAGCATTAGCTATAATTATGATTATTAACCAGTGTGCTCTTCACTCACCTAGGACCCCAGAATCCCACTCACCCACATACTTAATCCTTCTAAATCTGTCTTCTTTCTCTCCAGTTCTTGCTACTTTCCCATTTCCTCCGTCAATAGCCTCTGTTTCCTTCTTCAGGATCTGGAACCTATTATTTTAATTAATAACAATGAACCAACATTTCATTAATTGGCAGGATTACTTTGACAGAGTGCATGCAATCCTAAGGGTTCTAATCCAAGAGGTTTTTAGTGGCTGTGACTGTTGCTTTATATGGATCATTTAGACTTACAACACATTTTTCCAAAAAGAAAAAATCATCTAGCCAGCTCCCAGGTCAGTTATAAGAAAAAAATCCCTTCTACTCTCAACGTGGTTTCACTCTGGGGGAGATGAAGCGTAGTTCTGGATTCTGTTGTGCTTATTTCATTAGGCCCTGAGGGTGAGGCTAAAGCCTTATGTAGAGGAGATTATAACAACTCCTACTGGCAATTAATGGGAATGAGACAAGTTTTCAGATGAGAAGCCCATGTGAAACTCCTGTCTCTCCTTTGGATTCTCTTCCCTTGTCTGGATCTGCCTCCTGCCCTGTGTTAGAAGAAGATGCCCCTGCTAGAGGTGGTAGCCACAAGCTGAAGGCCAAGTGGTGTTCAGAAAGCCAGATGACCCAGTTCAGAGATTTCCAAATATAGCAACAGATCAGAATCCTCCACAGGAGCTTTCCAATATACAGACTCCATGGCCCATCCTAGGGTCACTGAACTGGAATTCTGAGGAATGACCCCAGGTTTTTAAAAATTTCCAGGGTGACTCTTATGTAGCCAGCCTACACTGATTCAAAAATTAATAGTTTTCCTTTTTCCCATTGCTAAGTTTATTCCCTTCTGTTACCCCTCTGGCCTTTGGAGAACTGACCATAGAGCTGTGTATTCCCTCTTGCAAAGGAGCTGTAAGGTGCACAGCGACCCCTCAGGACAGAAGGGGTGGTCACAGCAGTGATTAATGAAGCAATCCCAACAGGAAAGTGAATTTCAAGGACCCAGACTCAGCCTATAATGCCCAATCCCCATTCAACCAAAACAGTTCTGCATTAGGCTGTTATATATATTGTGCTTCCTTGTATACATGTCTGAAAGAAAGGCTGCACTGCAGGAAAAAAAATAGTCTGAAAAATACTGCCTTTTATAGAAGTATAGCATTGCTGTAGTTTGGATGCTTATCTCTCTAAACCTCATGTTGAAACGTGATCCCCAATGTTAGAGGCGGAGCCTAATAGGAGGTATCTAGGTCAGGGAGGTGGATCCCTCATGAATGTCTTGGTGCCATCCTCAGGTTAATGAGTAAGTTTGTGCTCTATTAGTTCCCATGACAGCAGTTGTTTAAAAAGCTTGGTCTATCATCCCACATCCAACCCTGCTTTCTCTCCTGCCATGTGATCTCTGCACACACCAGCTCCCCTTTGCCTTCCACCATGAGTGGAAGCACCCTGAGGCCCTCACTAGATGCCCAGTCTTCCAGCCAGCAGAATTGTGAGCCAAATAAACCTCTTTTCTTTATAATTTACCCAGCCTCAGGTATTCCTTTATAGCAACACAAATGAACTAAGACAAATATCACTAAAACATATTTCATCTTCAGCTACATTTTAAGCAGAGTTGTGTGGGCTGTCTGAAAATCTAAATATCATTTATAACGTGGATCCTGTAGAAAAATAGCTCATGAATCTGAATTCAAGATGGCAAAAACAAACCTCTGTCCCCACCAGCAACTTCCCACTGGTTGAGCAGCAAGTTGGGATTTGTTATTGCCTCCTTGAACACCTTCTACTCCATCCCCAAGACCACAGTAGTAGCTCCTAGCTTGGTAAAAAGGAAACTCTCCCTGCAGCCTAATGGAATCCTAAGTTCTTCCCTTCTCCCCTGAACCACCTCGGCAGCACCACAGAGGCTGAAGATTGTTCAATGGAAAGGGACTGCAAAGGACATTGATTCTCTGGGGCTCAGGAACTTCATCCTACCAGAGCCCTATACCAGGAAGTGCCCAAATAGATATTTTACACACAAAGAGGAGCTACTGGCCCATTGTTTTTAGAGTATGTGCTTTGAATTGCTTTGAAGAGTTAGCTACAAATCATCTACCTCCTTCCTGGGGAGGAGCAACATTTGTGGAGTTAGCCCTGGATGTAGATGAAAGGGTAGAAAAGCGACCCACATGTCGACCTTGTTCTCAGCTTCTCAACTACATATCCCAACCAGACATAGTCAAACAAACAAACAAACAAACAAACAAAAAACACCATGGTATGAACCAAGCGATTGTAACTATTTCATTTGCCCAACTTGTATTTCTCCTCTTATTAACCTCTCTTTAACAAAACCACACTCTAGCAATTGCTGGGTCAGCATAAGGAGCCAAAACTCTTGCTCCTATGAGCAAAGATGTCATCTATTTGTCTTGAAAGGAACATAGGTCCGGCCAGGTGCAGTGGGTCATGCCTATAATCCCAGCACCTTGGGAAGCCTAGGCTAGTGCATCACTTGAGCCCGGGAGTTTGAAACCAGCCTGGGCAATATGGTGAAACTCCTTCTCTACCAAAAATACAAAAAATTAGCCAGGTGTGGTGGCACACGCCTGTAGTTCCAGCTACTCCAGAGGATGTGGTGGGAGGATCACCTGAGCCTGGGAAGTCGAGGTTGCAGTGAGCTGAGATCACGCCACTGCACTCCAGCCTGGATGGCAGCGTGAGACCCTGTCTCAAAAAGAAAAAAAAAAGAGAGAGAGAGAAATATAGATCCATTTGCCTTTAGTAAAAAGATGGTGCTAGTTAATGAGTTGACTCTACACAAATATTTTAAATTCATAATAGGTCTATCTTACCTGAAAACAAACCCATCCTAAGCATAAATAACCCAAATTACCCACATTGCAATACTTGTGGGAATGAACTTAGAGGGAATAGGTTCATTTAACTCAGTCTTCTAAACGAGCTGCATCAACAGCTCCAGTCTTAGGTAATGACCTATAACATTCCAAATTTTTGCTTAGGAGACTTGAAAGAGCCTTAGTGACAAAAGACTGAATTGGACTTGCTAAACTGTGCTTCTCAATATAGGGAAGTAAGACTCAGACATTTCCTCATAAGTTCAGGAAGAAAGTTTTTGAGAAGCCCTGTTAATTATAAGGGACAATGCCTTGAACATTCAAGTTAATTAAGGGCTTGCCTCATGATTGCATTTGTAACACTAAAAGCTTTTATTCATTCATTTATTCAACAAATAATAATGACAGCCAAGTGCCAGGCACTGTTCCTGGCCTCATTTCTAATCACCCCACCCGTAAATTCCACCTTCCAAATATACTGAGCTGCTTACAATGCATAGAACATGCTGTACTCTCTCTAGCCTCCAGGCCTCTGCACATGCTCCCTCTGCCTGGAATGTCCTTCCCCTCCCCACATAGAGAGAGCGTGTTCACATGCACATGCACATACACACACTATTCCCTTTGTCTGCCTAGCTCCTAGCACAAACATCTCATTCTCATTCACTCAGCTCAAAGGCCATTTCTTCCATGAAGCCCTCTCCAGTCCCCTAGGGCAATATGCGTTTTCCTAGGCTTTATCACTGTGTGATGGGACCTGTTTACATGTGTCTCTCTTCCAGTAAGCTCTGGAGCTTAGGAACTGTGGCATTGAGAAGCACTTCTTTTTAGTGATTACACAAGTCTTGGAACTAACTTCCTGGAGACTAATTTCTTGGTTCTTCTGGAACCATTTCTTGATTGCTGCATAATTTGGGGCAATAACTTGGGCTCTCTAAGCATTAGTTTGCTCATCATTAAAATGGGGATAATAACTGCACCTATCTCATTGTGTTGTTATCAATGAGATAACATTGATGGATACTTAGGTATCCATCAACAGATGACGGGATAAAGAAAATGTGGTACCATTCTGGGCAACATATCGAGATCCCGTCTCTAACAAAAAAGAAAAAAAAAAGCCAACCATGGTGGCATGTGCCTGTAGTCACAGCTACTCAGGATCACTTCAGCCCAGGAGTTCAAGGCTGCAGTGAGCCATGATCACACCACCGCACTCCAGCCTGGGCAATAGAGTGAGACCTTATCTCAAAAAAAAAAAAAAAAAAAAAAGGAAAGAAAGAAACTGTGGTACATATACACAACAAAATACTGTTCACCCATAAAAAAGAATGAAATTATGTCATTTACAGAAATATGGATGGAACTGGAGGTCATTAAGTGAAACAACTCACAAAGACAAATATCACGTCTTCTCTCTTGTAAGTGGGAGCTAAATAATGTGTACACATGGACATAGAGGGTGGAGTGTTAGACACTGGAGACTCAGGAGAGTGAGAGGGGATTGCCAAGGGGGTGGATAATGAGAAATTACTTAATGGGTACCAGTGTGCATTATTTGAGTGACAGATTCTCTAAAAGCCTAGACTTCACTACTACACAGTATATTCACATAACAGAATTGCACTTGTGCCTCTTAAATTTATACAAATAAAAATGTTTTAATTAAAAAATTTTAAAAGATTGGTCAATACATGTGAAGTGCTTAGCATAGTGCACAGCCCATAATAGGGAGTTCCATAAATGTTTTTCTAAAAATCTCTTCTGGGACATGCGCAGTGGCTCATGCCTGTAATCCCAACACTTTGGAAGACCGAGGTAGTTGGATCACCTGAGGTCAGGAGTTCAAGACCAGCCTGGCCAAGATGGTGAAGCCCCCTCTCTATTAAAAGTACAAAAAGTAGCCGGGCATGGTGGCCCACATGCCTGTGATCCCAGCTACCTGGGAGGCTGAGGGGAGGAGAATTGCTTAAACCCAGGAGACAGAGGTTGCAGTGAGCCGAGACTGCACCACTGCACTCCAGCCCGGGTGACAAAGTGAGACCTTGTCTTAAAAAAAAAAAAGAAAGAAAGAAAGAAACAAAAAAAGATCAAAGATAAGAAAAGAAAAGAAATAGGCAGAACCAAGCTTTTTTAAAAAAACAAGTACTGGGGAAGGTACGTGCAATGCAATTAACTGACAAAGGACCTGTTTCCAGAAAAGATTTTAAAAACAAAACAGAAACAAGAAAACCGCCTATGAATCAATAAGGTGAGACTACCCAGTGGAAAAAAAATGTAAAGAATATTAATTATGAATAAGCATTTCACAAAAGAGGAAACATGGATGATCTATAAAACTATGCAACATGGACAGGTGCAGTGGCTCATGCCTGTATACCTGCAATTCCAACACTTTGGGAGGCCAAGGTGGGCAGATTGCTCGAGCCCAGGAGTTTGAGACCAGCCTGGGCACCATGGCAAAACCCCAGCCAGGCATGGTGGCATGTGCCTATAATCCCAGCTACTTATGAGGCTGCAGTGGGGAGGATTGCTTGAGCCCCAGAGGCAGAGGTTGAAGTGGACTGAGATTGTGCCACTGCGCTCCAGCCTGAGTGACAGAGTGAGCCCCTGTCTCAAAAAACAAACAGCTCACGCCTGTAATCCCAGCACTTTGGGAGGCTGAGGCAGGTGGATCACCAGGTCAAGAGATCGAGACCATCCTGGCCAACATGGTGAAGCCCCATCTCTACTAAAAATACAAAAAATTAGCTGGGTGTGGTGGTGCATGCCTGTAATCCCAGCTACTCAGGAGGCTGAGGCAGGAGGATCACTTGAACCTGGGAGGCGGAGGTTGCAGTGAGCCGAGATCACACCACTGCACTCCAGCCTGGCAACAGAGTGAGACTCCATCTCAAAAAGCAAAACAAAAAACAAACAAACTATGCAACGAACCTATGCAAAAAAAAAATGCTCAGGGAAATGGAAATCAAAAATGAGATACCATTTGATGCAAGCTAGATAACATGGAATGTAGCTGAGCATGTGGGAAAATAGAAGCACTCATATAGTACTGGTGGGTGTAAACTGGTACAACCACTTTAGAAAGTATTTTGGCAAGGAAAACTGAAGATGTGCAATTCCACTCCTGGTGTCTGCCCTATAGAAGCTCATGCAGATGTGAACAAGGAAATATGTTCCAGGATGTTTGTCACAGCATTATTTGTAATAATAAAAGAAGTAAAAACTTAACTGTCAATCAGTAGATATATATGTGTCAAAATGAATCAGTCTCAAAAATATAGTGTTAAAGGTCAAAAGCAAGTTGTAAAAGTACATTGATAGTACACATATTGATGCAAACTACAAAAACTTGAAACAATACTAAATCTTATTTATTTATGGATGCATACAGATGTAGTAAAAGTATAAGACCATGCATGGAAATGTGACAGGGATGTGACGTGCCCTCTTTAAGCTAGGGAAAGAAGTGAAAGGGAGGGGCAGGGCTTTCACTCTGTTCTACTCTCTTTCTTTAAAAGTGAGACAAAGGACATTTGAAGCAAATTTAGTACAATATGAAATTTGGGTTGTGGGTACATGGGTTTCTGGAAAATTATTTTCTTTTCTAAATATTTTAAATATTCCATAATCAAAATTTTTTTATCTCAAATGAACTTGAAAATAAGAACAGGCAGCAGAGAAATCATGTTTCCAGGTGTATTTTGCCCAGGCTGAGTGCAGTGGCATGATCATGTCTCACTGCCAACTTGAACCTGGGCTCAAATGATTCTCCCACCTCAGCCTCCCGAGTAGCTAAGACTCCAAGCACATGCCACGACACATTGCTAGCTTATTTATTTATTTATTTATTTATTTATTTATTTATTTATTTATTGTAGGGATGGGTTCTCACCCTGTTACCCAGCTGGTCTTGAACTCTTGGGCTCAAGCAAGCCTCCCACCTCAGCCTCCCAAAGTGCTGGGATTAAAGGCATAAGCCACTATGCCCAGCCCAGGCCTTTCACAGAGTATTCAACACCTTCATTGATTCCACCAAATGGATGAGTGGGCAAGTAGGTGGATAGAGGGGGAGAGAGGGATGGAGGGAGGGATAGTTGGATACATGGACAGAAGAATCAATGATTTGATAGATCATTAGTCAAATATATAGATAGACAGAGGAAATAACGTAGGTTGGGGAAGTCAGAGGTTATTAAAGCGTCACCATTCCCTAGATTTTTATCTTAAGCAGGGATATCGTGTGACATAGACAACAATGTGAATGGCACCCCCTGGAGTTGTACAGTGCCATAGCTCTAATGGACAAATGTCTTAACTCTCTGAGTCCTCATTTTGCTTCCCAGGGTCTTTCAGAAGAATAAATGTATGCACAGAGCCTGACATATAGTACGGAGTGAGAATATGGCAATTATGACCAAGGTAGTACTAGGAAAATGGACACTGAGTCTAACAGTCAGGAACAGGTTAATTGCAATAATAGCCCTATTGTATAAATAGAACTTTTAAAAATAACCTACTTTCAGGAGAAAAGTAACATATGTACATTGTATTACTCTGTTCTCACAGTGCTATGAATATCTGAGACTGGGTAATTTATATAGAAAAGAAGTTTAATTGACCCACAGTTCTGCATGGCTGGGGAGGCCTCAGGGGACTTACAATCATGGTGGAAGGCACCTCCTAACAGGGCGGCAGGAGAAAGAATGCGAGCCAAGCAAAGGGGAAAAAGCCCCTCATAAAACTATCATCCCCATGATCCAATTACCTCCCAGCAGGTCCCTCCCATGACACATGGGGATAATGGGAACTACAATTCAAGATGAGATTTAGGTAGGGACACAGCAAAACCATATCACACATTAAATATACCTATTCAGTTTGGCTGATCCTGATGACTGTACATTTTCCAGCAGGCACTGGGATGTGTTAAAGGATCAGCCTCCCCATCACAGTCCTGGGGTTCATTAGAGTCCCTCAAGGGAGCACCACTGCAGTCTTCAAAGCAGATCAGCCTTTCTATGCCCTTAAACACAGGTCATTCTTAGCCAACGTTAAGTGATGTGAGACTTACCGTATATAAATCTGATTTTATAAAAGCTTTCCACAAAGCATCTATAAAATGTTCATGGTATGTGAACATACACAGTAAACTCAGCCAGGATGTAGTATGGCATTTTAAGGCAGGGGAGTGGGGACAGGAGGCAGCAACATGAAGCAGCCTGTGTTTACATTGTTAGTATGCAGAAACCCACTAACTCACTTTACAATTTAAATTAAGCTGATTACACACAAACACACACACACACACACACACACACACACACAGACTTATTAATGTAGGGTCTTCCTGAATGGCATCTGTTTCAGTTATCTATTTCTACATAGCAAAATGACACAAAATTGAGTGGCTTAAAATAATAAGAATTGGCCATTTCTCCAGTTTCTGTACTTTGCTGGGCAGTTCCTCTGATGCCTTCCCTAAAGCTCACCCATCCTGCAACAATCAGTGGGAAGTCCAAGATGCCTCCTCTCTCAAGCATCTGGCACTCGGTGCTGGATGTTGGTTGTGTGGCCTCAGTTCTCCTCCATGTCTCCGCTTATCCTCTAATAAGCTAGAGCAGTTTCTACACATGGTGCTCAGGACAAGAACCCAAAAGGACTGAAGTGGAAGCTGCAACACCTCCTGACTTGCATAGCATCACTTCCACCACATTCTGTTGGTCAAAGCAAGATACAAGGCCACCAGATCAAGGAGAGGGGAAACAGGCTCCACCTTGATGGGAAAAGCAGCAGAATCTCATTGCAAAGGGGCCTAGCAGGAGCTGGTGCAGCTGTCTTTTAGGAAATGAGCTGCCACATAGGAAATGAGAAGCCAGGCGCAGACTGGGCTGGGCTTTCGCATATGACTTAGTTCTAAGAATTAAATCATAGCATCTGTGGTTAAAAAGAGAAAGCTTGAAAACCACTGCATTAAGCAAAAAGGCCAGAAAATACCATGAAAATAGGAGTGTGGAGCTTTTTTGTTCCTTGAATAAATGTCTTCCTGGTAGGAAGCACAGGATTCCTGAGGAAATGACATTTCTTCTCCATTGAGCAGACAGTGAAAGATCGATGTGACCAATGAAGATGGTGAGCAAGTGGGTAGGGCAGGCGGTTGATCTTTGCAGGAGCAGGTATCTGCAATTTGTCCTCATAGGGCAGATGACAACAGAGAGTGTGACGCTTGTGTGGAGACAATCAGGCTGTCCAATAAGAGAGACAGAGATGCAGCAAGGTGAGACTGAGTCCCCTGAAGTGGGAGGGAATGGCATCAAAGGAAGCAAATGCAGAAAGAAATAGGAGCTGCTCAGATGCCGGGATGTTCATCAACAGGACAAAAGGCTGAAAAGTGGCCCAGAAGGACTCTTCCTTCCTCTTCCAGAAAGAGAGCAGAAAAAATAAGAAAGACGCTTTGTCAAGATAGCAAAGCCATATGAACATAATCACTGGACACCAAGCAAATGACAGGAGACTCTATGATGCTCCAGCAACTCAAAAGAAGAGGACAAAGGAGAAAGAGAAGAGAACAGAGTGAGACTGAGGTTTATACAGTAACCAAGCCATCTCCTTCTAAGAAACACTTTCCAGCTCCCTCTATGTGGGCAGGTGGACACATAGAGGCACACTTGTATATGTGGTTTTCTAATTGGTTTCATTTTAGTCCATAGTAAAAGAGGTTAATTGTGCATCCATATTGTGAAAACATTCTCTATAAATGTCCTAATTAGGAACCCTAACTCGCTTTCCATTATTTCAAAACTGTCCAAATCTGGGTAGACCTAAAGACCATCTGGAACCTGGACTTATGCCCGGGCAGCAATGGATTGCCCTTCATTAGACCTCTCCATGCCCCATCTATTTGGGAGAAAGAAAGGGCGATGGAGAGTTACATGGTGAATACACTAGAAAATAGCATTCCCTGCTCAGACATTTGGTTTTATGATTTTATCTTCCTTGCAATTGACCATGTTCATAAAACTTCAAAGGAGATTTTTCCAGTGCTTTGGCTGTTTAACTGAGACATGCACTTACTTAAGTGTGCATCTGATGTCTGAATATATATGCAGAATACTTGTCCAGGAAACAACAGAAAGTACTGCTATTCTTTACTGTGTCTTTATTAAACTATTTTAGTTTGAAGGGAAAGCTTTTAAAAAATCAAGACTAACTTGAAAATCCAGAGGGAGGAATTGCCAATAAAGTAAAGCCACTCACACTGATTTATCACTGTATTTCTGCAACCATTGCTTGCTTCACTAGCTTGTCAGTGCAGTGGGTGTTGGGGAGCAGTCATCTGGATCTCACGTTGCACATAAAATCTGATATGGATATTAAAAGTCAATCATAAAGCTCCCCCAAGTGGATACTTTTTTAAACTACATGAAGAAACTCGCCAGAATCTCTATGATTGCAATCAAGATGGAGGCCTCAAATATGCTTTTGACGGACAGCAGTGGCCTGGCTTATCCATCTTTTTGTACATAATTTAATAAGATCAGCATCTTGGGAAAAGAATTCTATAAATGTTAAAATGGAATCTACAAAAACACTCTCCTGGCTTCCTTGGGAACGTAATGGGGCCTAGAAGCTGCCTGTGGCTATGCTAGATCTTACATGGCCTAAAAGGATCCAGGGATATAGTGATTTACAGCTGCTCAGGGGGGTAAAAACCCCCTGGAAAAGCTCCCTGGTCCATTTAATTGTGTTCTTTATTCCACTATCTGGGCTGATTATACTGAATTACTAGGCACCCCTGTTAAGCCTGTCACTTAAATTCTAGAACAAATTAAGTTTGTTGAAGGCTTTGCTCTTTCTCTCTATTAAAATATTCATATCTACTCTAACAACCTGATAAAAACTGGCTAAAAGCTTCGCTGCTATCCCCAACAGGGAGTGCCATTTTTAATGAACCCACAAGCATCATAAATAAAAAATAACTGTTCTTAATAAAGAATTGATAGATCAGCTCTGGCCCCAGATAGGTATCAAGGGGGAAGCTACACACAGCCTTGGGAGAATGTGTTCAGCAAATGAGTCTCCCAGAACCTAAAAGCCCCCAGCCAACCATCAAACTCCAAACAAAGGCTGAATCAATGAACTTCCTGAAGAAGTTTCCATAAAATAGCTGAGCCTACTGGGTCTTCATGGGGGTAGATGGCAAAGGGTAGCAGGGAGGGCCTTCCAGAGGTGTATGAGAAAGCAAGGGAAGGAGGAAAGGCTATGGCAGGGGGTTGGGGTGGGGGATAAAAGTCATAAAGAATATTCCTTGAGCATTTACTATGTGCCAAGCATTATCCTCCCAATAATCCTACAAAATGGATAGCATTATCCCCCATAAATGAAGGTAAATGGAGTTGCTGTAAGCAGCCTGAGGTCAGAAGCCAGTAGGTTGAGGGGTCTGAACACCAACCCAGACCTGACTCTAAATCCGAATCCCCAACCACGAAAGGCTTTGTAAAAGCTTTGGAAACACTGCTTAAACCTCTTCCCTCTTTCACTCCACTTATTCTGGGGGCAAAATATGGGACCTAAAGTCAGCAATCACAGCATTCACTTGCCCCTGGGGCTAAATAAGGAGGGGGCTTGGTAGAGACACCATTCCCCAGCCAGATCCTCTTCCAAATCTCCAAACACCCTGGCTGGGATGGCAGCCTCCTTCCTACCAAGCAGGACAGCAGCCTGCTCATCCAACTCCACCTCATGGCTCCAAAGAGAGTACTGGACATAGAATCCTAAGCTGCAGAAAATAAATTAAACAGACATTCTCACAAGACTTTGGAATCAAGGCAGAACAGCAACGCTAGGCTCTGTTGTGTATTGTGTGATATCAGACAAGTCATCTCACCTCTCTGAGCCTTCAAATGTGTCCATTAAATATGGATGGCAGCTTAACTGTTTACACATAGCCTTGTTCCAAAAAGGATTTAAAGCAGCCAATAACATCTATTTCACCAAGCAGTAGTCAGAATAAAATATAACTTTCTTAGCTATTTGTGACAAGAGCACTTGTGATGTAAGAGGGCCCAGCATGGTACCTGGCTGATATGGTTTGGCTGTGTCCCCACCCAAATCTCATCTTGAATTGTAGTTCCCATAATCCCTATGTGTCCTGGAAGGGACCCAGTGAGGGTAATTGGATCATGGGGTGGGTACCTCCTTGCTGCTGTTCTTGTGATAGTGAGTGAGTTCCCACAAGATCTGATGGTTTCAAAAGGGGCTTTTCCCCACTTTGTTCAGCACTTCTCCTTCCTGCTGCCATGTGAAAAAGAATGTGTTTGCTTCCCCTTCCACCATGATTGTAAGTTTCCTGAGGCCTCCCCTGCCATGCTGAACTGTGAGGCAATTAAACCTCTTTCCTTTACAAATTACACAGTCTCAGGCAGTTCTTTATAGCAGCATGAGAACAGACTAATACACTGGCTCACCAGGGGCTGGCAGTAAACACTTCTCTGCCACCACCCTGGACCTCTCACAGGTCTGCACTTCCTCCTCCTGACCTTCTGAAGGGGTTCACTGCCCCACTCTCCCAGGACCCCCACGACATTGCTATGCTTTCTTTTTCCCCACAGCTCTTAAATCCTTTCATGACCTTGTAGCTGGGATGGGGGTGGGAGAGACAGAGGAGGAGGGAGATCAAGAAAAGAGAGTTAAAACAATCCTAGCTTCCCTCACACTCTTCCAAGGCATTCGCAGGAAAAATGCATAATTATTAATAGCAAAAGTGCTGCTGTTATACTGATGTCCCCTGCAGGAGAGGTTGGTCTCACTTAACTCTAAACCTCTTTCCAAGTGGTAGGGGCAGGAGAGAGGGAGGCCTGATCTGAGGTCGGCCAATGTGTGATGTCTAACAGAAAACACAAGGGACCTCTGAGTGGGTGTTGTGGGGGGTGCTCACATGTCCCCAAGCTCAGGCAGTCCAGAGAAGCAAACCTTTCTTCTTCAATCTTGTTTTCCTGTCACTGAACAAAAATTCCTGATGCCACTTAGACACTGAATATGGCCTTGGAGTGAAGGTTGGAGGTGACCTACATTCCCTCATATCCTGAACCTAAAAAATCTTTGACATGCTGCTGGCAGAGGCATATGGTTTTTTTTTTTTACATTTTAATTTTTAAATATTGATCATATTAGATTCATTAGATGACACAAAGACAAATGCATGTCATAACATCATCTCTGATGATTGACCCAAAATTTTAGGGTGGATTTTTAAAAGGCAATTCTTAAAGCATTTACTGCCCAGGTCAGAGTCTTTGCAGGTATGAATAGTAGAGAGGCCCAACCCTGGACTCATCTCAAATGGGGAGTAGGAAAGCTCAAAAATATCTGCTACATAATTCTACCAATTGGTTTCACTGGATCTAAAAAGTTCTCTTTTAAAAAGTGATGATTACATAGGAGAGGATTCTAAAAAGAGGCAGTCCACAGTGTAACACTGGTTTTCCCTAGATGGTAAGACTGTGGGTGATTTGGGTTTTGGACTTTTTTATTTGTCTGTTATTTTCTAGTCTATCTACAATGAACAATTAAGAGTTTATTTTAATCTTAAAAAGGCCTTCCCTGGTCAAATTAAGTAAATTCATTATGTTTGGTGGTAACCACTTAAAAATGGAAGAAAGCAAACCACAATGAGATATCACTCCATATTCATTAGGATGTTTATCATTTGAAAAAACAAAAAAAATGGTAAATAAGTAGTGTTGACAAGGACATGGAGAAATTGGAACCCTCCTACACTGCTGACGGGAATGCAAAATGGTGTAGCCACTTCAGAAAACAGTCTGGGAGCTCCTCTAAATGTTAGACATAAAGTTGCCATATGACCCACAACAATTCTACTCCTAGGTATATACCCAAGAGAAATAAAAATGTAGCCACACAAAAGTTCTTAACCAAATGTTCACAGCAGCATTATTCATAGTAGCCAGAAAGTAGAAACAACCCAAATGTCTATCAGTGGATAAATGGATAAATAAAATGTGGGATATCCACACAATGGAATATTATTTCACCATAAAAGGAATCTGTACTGACACGTGCTACAATGTGGATAAACTCTGGCAACATTATACTAAGTGAAAGAAGCAGTCAAAAAAGACCACACATTGTATGATTTCATTTATATGAAACATCTAGTTTATATGAAATGTCTAGAACAGGCAAATCTACAAGGAGAGAAAGCAGATCAGTGGTTGCCTAGGGCCAGGGGAATGGAGGGGCAAGGGAATGATAGCTGAGAGTACCGGGTTTCTCTGCAGGGTGATGAAAATATTCTAAAATTGACTGTGGAGATGGTTGCAGGTATTTGTGAATATACTAAAAACCAGTGGGTTGTACATTTTAGTGGGTGAATATTATGGTATGTGAATCATATCTCAATAAAGCTGTTACCCCCAAAATAGAAGGATGCCATCTGAATATGATGGGACTTCTGACTTATATGAAGAAGGCACATACTGACACATGCTACAGTGTGGATAAACCCTGGCAACTCTCTCAACATGTGAGAAGGCAGAACCCATGTGAGAAGAGGATGGCAAAGTGAGACTGCAGGGCACCAAGACAGGGTTTGATTTGCACCCAAACAGTCATCCTGTACAAACTGGAAAAGCCATCCCCAGACCTTAGCACAGGCCTGGGCTTCCTCTCATACACACATCCCAGCATTTTACAGTTAAATAATTGATCCCCCAGATTATTCCCATGGGGGAATAATCTGCAGACACTGGGAAAATATTGGAATGAGGAAGGCAGAGCCAGCGATCAGAAACTGACCGCATCAAAATCACAGAACTCAAGCTAACTTAGCAGTGATCTCTCAAAGTTGGCTGTTCATCAGACTCACCCAGGGAGTTCTCTTGACTATCTGTTTGGGTTTTAACATAGACTGCTGAACCCCACAACGCAGACATTCTGAGTCCGTAGGTCCAAGAGATACCCAGGAATCCTATACTTTCTAAAGTTCTCCACATCTTTCTGACCATAAACCAGGTGTAGGAACTTCTGGACCAGATGACAACTCATTTTAAAATATTTTTGAAGAAAATAAGAATAAAAGACCTTTTTGAATTAAAAAAAAACTTTCCACTTTCATGCAAGGAGAATACACAGAAACTGCTTAATAACATGTTTTTATGATCTCTGGTATAGCTACAAAACAAACTTTTAAAAGGATAAAAATATTCACGTCTCCACAATGTACCAATTCACAGTTTCAGTCAGGTGTTCCTTTCAATTTTTTTAAATTGTTCCTAAACTACTGCTTAAATATCATAGAATTTAAAAGCTGAAAGAGTCTTGGATATTACTGACTTCAGCTCCCTCATCATAGACAAGGGGAAATGTCACCCACGGAGATGAAATATCTTGCTGCAGGATTAGAACCCAGTTAGGTGTGCCCACAGTCCGTCCAGTCCCCTTTCTGCTGTGTAATATGACATTTTGCAAGAATAGCTTATGCTGGAGGTCTTCAGTTGCAGAAAAATCAATCTCTGCAGATATGAAGGAATGGCATTTAAGCTATGACTTAAACCATGGAATTTTAGACCCGTTGTAACAAGAAGGAACATGCAGGTCACCAGATTAGAATCTACAATGTACAGGTTACCTAGCCCCATAAACCACAGTGAACCAACAAAAAACAAAGCTGGAAGATACAGACTTGAGTAGGAGCCTTCTGAGAAAGATGCAAGGCCCAACCCTTACATCCACGGTTGATGATGCAGAAGGTTGTTAGGGGACATCACCATAGCTGTGTGCTGCCTTTGCAAAGATTTAATCACGCTCACTTTCCAAGCTATATTAACTTGCACACAACCTTCCCAACACTGCAAGAAGCTCAAATAAAACAGAATACTGGGTTTTGGATTTTCAAGTTTTGTCTCAGGCAAACAGTATTGTACTGCAAAAGATTAAAGTTTGTGTGGCAGGCTAGGCACTGTGGCTCCCAGCACTTTGGGAGGCTGAGGCAGGTGGATCACTTGAGCCCAGGAGTTCAAGACCAGCCTGGCCAACATGGTGAAACCCCGTCTCTATTAAAAAAAAAAAAAAAAAAAAAAAAGGCCGGGCACAGTGGTTCACGCCTGTAATCCCAGCACTTTGGGAGGCCGAGGCGGGTGGATCACGAGGTCAGGAGATTGAGACCATCCTGGCTAACACAGTGAAACCCCGTCTCTACTAAAAATACAAAAAATTAGCCGGGCGCGGTGGCGGGCGCCTGTAGTCCCAGCTATTCGGGAAGCTGAGGCAGCAGAATGGTGTGAACCCGGGAGACAGAGCTTGCAGTGAGCCGAGATTGCGCCACTGCACTCCAACCTGGGTGACAAAGCGAGACTCTGTCTCAAAAAAAAAAAAAAAAATTAGCTGGGCATGTTAGCACATGCCTGTAATCCCAGCTACTCAGGAAGCTGATGAAGGAGAATTGCTTGAACCCAGGAGGCAGAGGTTGCAGTGAGCTGAGATCACGCCACTGCACTCTGGCCTGGGCAACAGAGTGAGACTCTGTCTCCATAAATAAATAAATAAATAAATAAATAAAGTTTGTGCACCAGTTCTATCTCCTATTCACTCCAAGTACTTACTCAAATCAGTTAACTGCTCTCATTTCAGTAAACTAATTCTCGTTTACACTCCTGTAAAGTGGAAGGAACAGTTACCTTACTTTCCTTCCCATCCCAGTTGAGCTCACATTTGTGCAACAAAAAATATATATATAATATATATTGCTTAATTCTATACTCTATGTATGTAAGCTGTTATCATTACTATATTGTTTGCAGTTGAGGGGTGAGTGATTGCTACTCCCCAAAAATGTCCACTGGATAACAATAGCTAATTGATTGAACACTTATTAAGAGCTTTGCCAAGTTCTTTAAATTTACTCCTCCCCAAAATCCATTAAAGAAGATATAAAAAAGGCGGGTTCAGAGATATTCAGCCATTTGCACAGGGCCACAAAGCTAGTAAGCAGCAGAGCTACATTTTGAACTCGGTCAGTCCAACAAGTCCACCAGACAAGCAGTCTTCCTTTGTTTTTTAAATCTTCAAATGGAGGAATATCAAATGCAAAGCTTAAAACAAATAGTGGTGGTGGGACTCTTTCTATGTTTGGGTTTTTTTCTGGTGGGGGGCGGTGGCAGGATCTCTTCTTTACTGAAGTTTTAAATAGCTGTGTGAATCACTACAAGAAGCTGTGTTCCAAGGTTCCCTTTATCCTCTCTCCCATAATGTAGCTAACTTCTTCTAGAAAGCTCGTCCCCACCTCTGGCTTCCTGGTTCATCACTGTCTCATGTACTGCAATGTTGGCATTTTCATCAAATTGGCAACCAGCTTATCCAGATCTGCTTGATAAGAAGGAACAGGCTGCTTGTGTCTAAACTAATCAGAAAGAACAAGCAGTTTGCCTCTAGAATGATACCTTATGTGGTCTGTGCAAATTAGCTACAAATGAAGAATTTTTGCAAGGGCAAGCATGCCCATGTTTTCCATCTACAGAAATATCTTCTAGAACAAGTGCTTCCTTGTCCAAGGAGAAAAGCTCAAAGAAAAGAGTTAGCTTTCACCAAATCTGACTGTGAATCAGCATCTGAGGTCCCAACAGAAACACCTGCTAGGTACAGTCATCCACCATCCCTCACTCCCAGAGCCAGAGGGCCAAGGGTGTTTATAAATATAGGCTAGAAGGCCTTCCAGCCATCTAATTCAGAAAGACTCCCTCAAGGAAAAGCCCCCAGAGTAGACTGAGCTGTTGGACATCTAGAAGACCATCCCTTTAAACAAGGGTGAGCATATCCCAAAGCCTCCTCTGTCTTTCCCACAATTCTCCTGATCTGAAAGCTCTCCTAACCACTTGCCTCTTACAGTGGATTGTGTCTTGCTAGAAGTCCAACATGCCCAGCAAGGCCTTTGAGGCCCTTCATGAGCCAGCCTCACTCAATAATCTCTCCCTTCTCCCCCATCCCCACCCCACCTCTAGCACTGCAGCCTGCCCCAACAACTGTCTGTATTGATCACTGTTGTATCCTCACAGTGCCTGGCAAAGGTAGGCAACACAATGATCATTTGCTACATCAGTGAATACTTACATTTCCCTAAATGAACTATGTTTTTTTCATCTGTGGGTCTTGGTTCAAGCTACTCTCTCTGATTGAATTGCTTTTTTTCCATTTCACTAACTTCCTCCTTTTTACAAGAATCGGCTTTAGAGTTCTCTTCCCTTGGGACATCATCTTTGACCCTCTCCCTGATCTGAGCTAGTGACACCAGTCACCAAAACGATCGTGGGTGTGATGGAAAAGAAATGGGACGTGGTTTTGCTTTAACAAGCACATACAGGCCAGGTGTGGTAGCTCATGCCTGTAATCCTAGCACTTTGGGAGGCTGAGGTGGGCAGATCACCTAAGGTCAGGAGTTCAAGACCAGCCTGGCCAACATGGTGAAACCCTGTCTCTACTAAAATACAAAAATTAGCCAGGCATGATGGCAGGTGCCTGTAATCCCAGCTACTCAGGAGGCTGAGACAGGAGAATCGCTTGAACCTGGGAGACAGTGGTTGCAGTGAACCATGATCTCGCACTCCAGCCTGGGTGGCTGAGCAAGACTTTGTCTCAAAAACAAACAAACAAAAACAAGGACATATGAATTTACATTCCAAATAAGTGTTGCCCCCTTTTAAGAAGTCATTTAGTCCATCTTAATAGATCAGCTGAATTTATGGTGTTAGTAACCCTCTTGGGAGACACAGAAATGTGTAAAATTTCCCACAACATCCTGCTACTAAGGTGGTATCACTTTTCCTGTCTCTCAGAATTCTGACTGAATCAAAAAGTCAGGGCTGGAAGGCACCTTGGAAATACCTCAACTCCTGCTTTTACAGATGTGGAAACGGAGGTCCAGGGAAAGTTGAAGTCATCCCAGAAATCAAATAGGAAACTAGTGGCAGAGTTCAGCTGAGACCTCAGCTCATCTGTAAACTCACTCAAAACTTTAATCCTTTCCTCTCACAGAAGAATCAAGGCAATTCCTCCCAGTACCTGCTTTGACTTGCATTCCATGTTTTATTTTGGTTTTTGCTTCACAAGCTAAAGAATAATATTACGCTGAAATTTTAAGGAAAAGATGGAATGTTGTAAGAGCTCCAGATGGTTTCATCACAAGATACGTGAAGATGTGGGCTATCCCTAGTTAACAAAGGCTAATTTCAAGCTTCCAAGGGAACCAGTCTTTAGTCCAATGTTCCCTAAACATCATTCATGTGCACATCGTCGTTTCCATTTTTGTCATATCTGAAATACCAACTTTACTATTATTTACTTCTTTCTTTCCTTTAACTCACTTTCTTTATTTTCTTTTTTGAGACAGGGTCTTGCTCTGTCACCCAGGCTAGAGTGCAGTGTCTCAGTGGCACAGTCTCAGCTAACCGCAGCCTCCACCTTCCAGGCTCAAGCCATCCTCCCACCTCAGCCTCCTGAGTAGCAGGGACTACAGGCATGCACCACGACATGCAGCTAATTTTTGTATTTTTTGTAGAGACAGGGTTTCGCCATGTTGCCCAGGCTGGTCTTGAACTTTTGGGCTCAAGTGCTCCTCCCACCTGGGCCTCCCAAAGTGCTGAGACTACAGGCTTGAACCACAGCGCCCAGCCAACTCATTTTTTAAAAACATAATATCTAGTTTAATCTCAGCCTAAGTGAAATAAATAAATAATAATCCAAGAAATCACAGGTTTGGTATCTTTTTATACTCTTTCCCTAACACATTTCAGATGAATATACAACTATTTTTTAAATGTTCACATACCACTTATCATTCTGCATATCACTATTAGCATGCATGTAACATTACAGGAAATTGTGCTTTTACTCCAGAGCATGGTGATTCCTTCCGAAGCAAAACTAGTTACTGGTATTCTCCCTAGTGTCTATTCCATCTTCTGCATGCACCTTATTTATGTGAAATGCCAATCAGTAGTAGCATATTCAGATCCCAAACTAAAGCTTATCCTTATGATAATAGCTTTTCTTATCAACCGCTAGATCACTATGCCTTCCACACATTTGATCTGTCACTTTGTTTGAAATAATCCCTTACCTTAATGTTCTTCACTGATTATTAATAAATTACGAACCAACAGCAAAAATAATTACCCTTTCACCTAGGAAAACACTGGTGAGTATGTCTTAATGGTCTACCAGTGACAGACGGCTTTCCGGAGCATAATGGATGCAAATGTGTAACAGGATATGGGTAGGTTATTTTCACACAAGCTGTCACTTGTCACACAAATTACATGGGTTCCTATTAGCTGCTTAATTCAGATTTTGAAAAAAACAAATTCCACTCACAATACCTACATCATTCCTGGATCTCCTATAGAAGTCAGAACCAACCCACAAAAGCACCAAAGAATTAAAGGCTTTCAGGAACAGCACATTGTCTGTGGTAGGAAAATTCTCCTTGGAGTGGTGGAAATCATGTCGGTCAAAGTTGTCCAAGGATTCAAACGTCTTCAGAGGAAGAGAGGAAGACCTGAGACTATGAGAGAAGCCTGAATCTGGATGCCGTTATCAGAGCTCTGCAAGTCGACTGAGTGGTTTATGGGTCTGCCAGGCATGGGCAAGGAGAGGCTGGCGGGTCACTGCTGGTGCCACACAAAGGGGATGCCAAGGTAGCCTGCTTGACATCATCTGTCTAGACTGGACAGAGTGGAGCCTTCCATGCACATTCCTGAGGAGCAGTGACATGGACCGCAGGCCTCGGAGCCTGTGCTGGAGGCCCTAAGGCCTGAGGCTGCAGCTCTTAGGCTAACTTTGCCCAGGGTTCTGTTGCCATTTTAGGAAACTAGCAGATACTTTTGCAAACTGACCTGAGTTTATCACAGTTCTTATATCTCAGAGTTGGTGTATTTTTTTTTAGACGGAATCTCGCTCTGTCGCCCAGGCTGGAGTGCAGTGGCACGATCTTGGCTCACTGCAACCTCCGCCTCCCGGGTTCACGCCATTCTCCTGCCTTAGCCCCCTGAACAGCTGGGACCACAGGCGCCCACAACCACGCCCGGCTAATTTTTTGTATTTTTAGTAGAGACGGAGTTTCACCGTGCTAGCCACGATGGTCTCGATCTCCTGACCTCGTGATCTGCCCACCTCGGCCTCTCAAAGTGTTGGGATTACAGGCGTGAGCCACCGTGCCCAGCCGAGTTGGTGTATTTTTAAGTCTTCCCTTCTTATAATAATAATCGCTAACATTGATCTAGTACTTATCATTTACTAGGCACTGTTCTAAGCAGTTTCTGTGTATTAACACATGCACATACAGAATCACAGAAAGTTTGATCTGGAAGGAGCCTTAGCTATTGAGATTGAAAGAGCCCTGGACTTATATCAGTAGGAATGAGTACTTTGTCACCCATTAGCTGTGTGATCTTGACTGAGTCCTGATTCCCTCTAGGCCTCACTTTCTCATCTGTTACGGTGGTGAGATGGATGAGACATGATGAATAGGCTTCCATATGAATGCCAACTATGATCCAGTTGAGCTGTCTTGGGCACTAAGTTGAGTGGGATTCTGAGAAGGTGTGGGAGAGTGCCACAATCGATTATCAGTGTCTGCCACAATGAGCATCTTCAGGATAAAATAAGTATGTAAAAGCACCTAGTATAATAGAGTATCTGGCATACTGTTGATATTCAGTTTAGTAGAAGACTATTGGAATTTTCATCATCATCATTAGTCTGTCAATCCCAAACTGGATTAACTTGTTCTAACCCATGATTTGTAACTTATATGCTTACATGCAAAACTGATTACCATAATTTTTCTTAAGGAATAAACTTGAGCTCCTTCTCAAGGAAATATCATTTAAATCTTTTATTACAGAAAATGCCAAAAATATACAAAAATAGACACTATTGTAATGAACTCCCAAGGACTCATCGACAAACTTCAAGAATTATCAATTCATGGCTAACCTTGTCTCATCTATGTCCCCACCTATTGACCCCTCTCTCAGCCAATCTGGATGTTGTTTAAGCAGGTCCCAGATATCATGTCATTTCATCTATAAATATATCAGTGTTTATCTACAAATAATAGAAACTTAATTTTTTATAATTTTTAAAGCATTTGTTTTTAATTGGATGAAATGGCAACAGCAAAGCATGATTAGGAAGTTATTTCCTCACCTCCCTAATAACATTCCAGAAAAGTAAAAAACAAGTTTGTGTATTAAATAGTAATAATAATAAGAGGCTAGCTCAGGAGGCCACGTGGGGACTGCTGTATGCATGATTTATTATAGCTACACAAAGTGAGTCATTCCATTCTTTGAGATATTTATGACATGGCTAAAATGTTGAATACATCAACATCAGAATTAATCATGAATAATATTTAATTAGTGCTTGACAACGATCAATTTGGCAACTCTTTTTGTTCTCTCTCCTTCCCCCGTATAGAAAAATAGTCATAAACTAAAGTGTTTTATTTTTTCCATCTGCTTCTGGTAAAGCGCATCCCTGAATTGCTAACTTAGTTGAGATCTCCTGAACTTTCATATACCTAGGTAATTAGACTCAGATGCTGTCCGGACTGTGATTATAAATCAAGTGTGTGTATGTAAGCAGAAAACAGACTGCTCACGCTGAGAGCTGGTGTCACTATTTCTCACGGACCTGCCCATGGAGCAGGCAGGCCCCCAGGTCTGAGCAGAGCAGAAAGTTTTCATATCGCTGCCATGCCGTGGCAGCCCCTGCTCTCACCTCTCCAGCCTCCAGAAAGCACTGATTATATATAATAATACATTATATATAATAATATATAATCAGCAGGCTTAAGACTTTGTTTACAAAAGAAAAAAGGCCTCTGGGGCACTCGAGCAGTAATTCTGCCCAGAAGTATGCTAGGAACGAACCAAGGAGCATAAGATGCATGGTACAAACCAGGAGAATAAGAGGCAGGGGAAAGTACACCGCGATGGCATCTTTCCAGCCAGGCTGTTAACATTCAGAGCACTTGGCGTCCCGAAGAACTTTTGTGGCACTGTGTACCATTTCCCAATCAGGGAGTTTGTTCTACAAGGGAATGATTAGGAGAAACTTTAATTCATTGTTTCATAACAATATGTGCATTCATTTAATTTTAACAGAACAGCAATTTTTGTTTCAGTTAACTTAATATTTTAAATAATGGAGCCAAAGGTGCCTGGCTTTTTGAAGTGTCTGAAAGGAAGCGTTAAATTGTTGTTTTTAACTTGGAGGCTGTTGATCTAAGGGATCTCCTTTTCTTTACGTCTGAGTCACATCAAGTAAACTACAGCTGAAATGCCTACTGGAGCCAATACCCAGTAGGTCATCTTGGGAAGGCTGGAGACCTGGAATCAGCCAACATTGGTTAAAGAGTTCTATGTGCCAAGCATGGCACATCCTATATCTTCTATAAGCCTTACAATAACCCCAAGGGGGAGCACAGGTGGTTATATGGAGTTTCCAGAGTCACCGAACTAATACATATGAATTAGGGGTCCAAGCTTAGTATCCATTTCTATTTATTTTTTTTCTATTTTTAGACGGAGTCTTGCTCTGTCGCCAGTTTGGAGTGCGATGGTGCAATCTCAGCGCACTGCAACCTCTGCCTCCCAGGTTCAAGTGATTCTCCTGCCTCAGCTTCCCAAGTAGCTGGGATTACAGGCACCCACCACCACGTCCAACTAATTTTTGTATTTTTAATAGAGACAGGGTTTCACCATATTGGCCGGGCTGGTCTTGAACTCCTGACCTCGTGATCTGCCCACTTCAGCCTCCCAAAGTGCTAGGATTACCTCACCTCATTTAATCCTCACCCTATGTTGTTCTTATTCCCATTTTGCAGATGTAAAAAAAAAACAAAAACAAAAAACAAGGCTTAGAAAGGATATGTAACGTGCCCATGGCCACACCGGGAAGCCATCTGACTGCAGGGACTTCCTTCAGTCATTCTCCTACACCTACCCAAAAAGCAAATTGGGCCACACCCTCACCATTTCATGAGTGGTACGATGCTTTGAAGTTATGAGCTCCCATAAACTTGTGAATAATGCTGACTGCCCAGGCAAGTGCTGGATGAATTTTGTGACATGTAAGGACACAAATAAGTGGAATTCCAAGGCCTCCAACTGAGAACATTCAACACACACAGAGCTCACAAGGACACCAGCAAATGATGCATACAAACTACAGTTGAATGATTTTTCACAAGGGGAAAGAATGGTATGATCGGAACTGGCCAGAGCTTATCATAAGAAGCTAAACTCTCAGAGGATATGATTGAAATAAAAAATCTATCTGTTTTTACCCTGTCGATGCCAAATGCTGAATTTCCCCTCCCTCCTGGCTTGGGAGATGAAGTCAGTGGATCTTCTTTCTGCCTCACTGGCTTTTCAACATGCAACTTGATAGCTTCTGGAAACAAACCAATGAATACAAGATCATCAAAGTGTGTTATTTTAATTAAAGGAGGGTCCTATGTGGTGGGGTGGGGCGAGGGGGCAGTAAGTCTGTTAGTGGCCAACCCAAGTAGCAGCTGAGAATCTAGTTAGCATGGTCTCTGTCTCACCAATCCCTCCTTCTGGTTCTGCTGCCACATCCCGGCCCCTGACTGGGCCCAGTTCTGCTCTGAACCCACAGCAAACTGGGTGAACCCACAGCAAACTGGGTCAGCCCACCTAGAACATCACATGTGACATTTTCCAGATATGCCTCGAAAAATGCAAAGTTTGTGCTTCAAAGCAGCCATCACTGCAAACACTAAAAGACAGGCTTGCAATGTAATAGGGCTTTGAAAAAGAAAAAGAAGAGGAAAAAAAAGAATGAAAGTCTGGGCTGCCAAAAAAATTAATTGGCATTGTTGTAAAATTGTATTGCACAGCGAGAATACAAATATTATTCATGTTAAGGAAAGGGTTGACCTAAGATGTGATTTATAGGCACTTCAAATGCAGTACAGGAAGTAAACGGAAAAATTAGGGTGCGAGGTCACTGAGTAGGCAAGAGTCAACTTAAGGGTAAAGTTAAAAACTTGAGGAAGGGAGCACACAGTTCATCTTGCCATATTAAATTAAGATCTGTCTTCACTTTGAAGAAATGGAAAAAGTCAAATATTGAGGTGGGTATGTTACTAAAGGCGTTTTCTTATCAACAAGCGAGAAAGTAGGAATACTTTTATAAGGGATGAGGAATGCCGAAGGGATGTTTCATAAGGAAAATAAAGAGGCAGGTTGATGCAATCCATGAATCAACTGTGTTATCAGTAATGTGAACAAACAACAGTTACAAGTTAAAGGGCTTTAGAGGCACTGCACTGAGCAAAAGCAAGGAATCCAAACTGAATTTTGTTTTTAGGGATGTGTTGTTTCATTTTTTTAATTAAAATAGTCTAAATTGGACCGGACAGTTCTCAAGCTTATCAATGGCCAGGAAGAGGCGATTGAGACAGAAAGGGATGTTCGGCTGTGAATTCACGGATTCACGAACACAGGATTCAGCTCTCTCTAAGTCATCCTGCTCTCTGGCTGTTCTGTTTCAACCCAGTTTGCATTAAAAGTTCTCTTCCTACCCGCACCCCGCACAGGGAATATGAATGTTTCCCAAAGAACCACTAGAGGGCAGAGCTTTGTGATGTTTTGAAATTAAAAATTGCTCAACCAGCCCAGGAGTCATCGCAGCCACCACCAGGAGTCATCACAAGAAAGACGGTGACTGTATCCCCTAGGCCAACGTCCACATAAAGCGCAACAGCCAAGAACTCTGTCATCCTCTTAGGCGAAGGAAACCAAGGCTATGGCAGCCAGGGGCACAATCACTGCCTGACAAAGGGCAGCCCAGAGTGGGGTCCTCCATGCAGAAAGGGATCAAGAGAAGCAGAGGCTATGAGACATGGAATCAGCCCCAGCACCCGCCCCTGGGGAGGGGCTTCCCCTAGGTAGACAGGGCTCACTCCCTTCACATACCTGAGGCTGCTTCTCCTGCAATCTTTCCCACCTTCTCCACACCCCTGATGTTCCTTTTACTGTGGTTCATCTGCATATAAAAATGTTGGGTGAGAAAGGACAGGAAATCAGGACCATCAACTCCGTGGCAAAAGCATCCCTCCTGTGTGGCCCGCATTTAGAACTCCCAGTGTCCTCTGTCATCTGTAGGGCTGTTGGCCTGCAGCCGCCAGAGTCACGGTTGCAGGCAGCATCCTGGCGGCTGCAGTGGTGCAGAGAAAATGTGGCTGGGAGAAATCTGAGTGGGCCCCTCGGCATCAGTCCTGGGCTGCCTCCTTTGGCTCCCACAAAACCTAATCCCTCTGGCCTCTAAGAGCATTCTCATGCTGGAAAATTAGGGAGTGTGTTCCTGGGGCCCTGAGTCCTTTCACTGTCCCTGGCCCTGCCTGGGGACCTTGACCTCCAGGGCCATTGCTAATTACCAACCATCACCCATCCCTGCAGTAAGGGTCCTCATTAACCCAAGTCCTCCCAGCGTGTCTAGCAGAGAGAAATCTGATCTCAGCTAAGGGTGTGGGAAGGGGCAATGGGAATTTTCTCCTTTCTTTTAAACTTGGAGTTAGAGTTTTAGGCCACCTATGATTAAAATGTTCATCGAGGCCAGACACAGTGGCTCACGCCTGTAATCCTAGCACTTTGGGAGGCCAAGGCAGGCAGATAATGAGATCAGGAGTTCAAGACCAGCCTGACCAATATGGTGAAACCCCGTCTCTACTAAAAATACAAAAATTAGCCGGGCATGGTGGCAGGCACCTGTAGTCCCAGCTACTTGGGAGGCTGAGGCAGGAGAATCGCTTGAATCTGGGAGGTGGAGGTTGCAATGAGCCAAGATGGCGCCACTGCACTCCAGCCTGGGCGACAGAGCGAGACTCCGTCTCAAAAAAAAAAAGTTCATCCAGGCAGCCTCTGATGAACTGCTCTAAGCCTGTTTCCTAACCTGTTAAAAGGAGAGAGTAGGATTAAGTCTCTGATGAATCACTAAGAGGCTGGACTGAGATAATGAGGTAGTCTTTGTAAAGCCCTGAGTGCCGGTTACTTTTCAGTCTGCAACTGCAAATCTCCGGGGGGAGGAGGCTGCCATCTCCTGGGGTGGCCAGCTTTCCCACCGAAGATTAGGACACAAAGGGCTATGGCCTCAGTATAAGCAAGTCCATTCTGCCCATCACCTAAAAATGACTCCATACTCATCTTGTGACCTCATAAAAAGATGCTCAGCTTCTTCATCTGTAAAATAGCAAAGCAGCTACACCATTCCTAAATTCCCTTAGGGATCCCAGGACAATCCATGATCCAAAATGATGTCTAGGATTGCATCTACCACTTTTGCAGCCATGCCCCATGACATGGCTGGCTCATCTTAAGCTTGTGGACACTTAAAATTCCCAGACCTTTCTCACAAGAGCTATCCTTAAAACAGGCCTTCATCACCCCCAACAGAATGTTTGCTGTTTAAGAAGATTTTGATCTTTTTCTTCTTGGATGTCTCAGTGCAGTGCTCCAGTCTGGTAAGACCATGCTGAATCTCTACTCGGTCATGAATGGAAACTGCTTCTCTCCCAGTTTTAAGTCATCTCTACATTGCAGGGGAGGGGGCGTATCCAGGGCAAAGCTATGTGCTTTTAACATACCATTTCTTTTCATGACCAAATAATGAAAGAGGGAGGAAATTTTTCCATGCAAAGCTAAGAACCAAGAATCCAGGGGTAGACACAATGATGGGTGAGGGGAGGCTCTGTTGTGCCAAAAGCACACAGAGGCAAAAAGCTTGGCCTTTCAGGTCAGAGGGATCAGAGTGAGTCCAGTTTCTCCATTTTCTATGTGGTCTCGGCCATGTGACCTAACCTCTCTTGGCCTCAGTTTCAGAGCAATAATGCCACCTCATCATAATAATAATTTCACGGAGTCCTCCCTGTAGACCAGGCACTGTGCCAGGAGCTTTGTATGCATTATCACATTCATCTTTACAACCTCCTTGTGAAGGAGACGTTATTCTCACCATATTGCAGGCAAGGAAACTGAGGCCTAGAAGAATCAAGCAGCTGTTCCTAAACCACACCATAAGTTGGCAATGGAGCTGGCGTGAGAACCCCTCTCTCCTTACCTGGTAGGGTCGCTGTCAAAGTGAATGAGATGATCTGCATAAATATGAGCATAGGGTCTGGCAGGTATGGTAATTACTGTTATTATTGTTTTTAGTAGTAGTAGTAGTAGTGATAATGTATAGTTTGGTCAATTCAGGGCCCCTGTCCCTCCTGCTATTCACCTTTGACCACATTTTCATAATGAAACCCAAGTAGGATGTGGCACAATAGGACAAGCACAGGCTGACAGCCAGCCAGTTACCAGCTGTGTGACCTTGGAAAAGTTATTTAATGTCTCTCAGCCTCAATTTCCACATCTGTAACCTGAAGAACATAAGACTACCATTAGAACTGATGTAAATTGTGAAGATAAAACTAAGTATTTGCATAACTACATAGTTATAATAGGCAACGCCCATATACATATATATTATATATTTTTATATTATATGTATTATATAATATGATTATATAATAATTATAATTATAATCTTTATGAAAGCAGATATATTGTGCAACTTGCTAATTGCTTTAGTAGTGGAAAGATACTCCTGAGGAAAGAGCATTGGAGAACTCTCAGAGCTTTTCATCAGAGTGGAATAAGCCTTGAAATCCATTCACTCCTGGCTCTGACATTTACTCCTACATGATCCCAGTCAAATCAATGGGACTACAGAAAAAACTACCTCAGTGGGGAGGTTGTGAAGGTCAAATGAGAAAATACATGTAAAAAATGACTTAAAAAATCAAAAGTGCAATTATAATGATCCTTCTCCTACCTCATACACAAAAATAGCCCCCAATGAAAGGACATAACGTGGGGTGTTTCATTAAGTGACACAGCCTGGCGAAGAACTGAAATAAACATTTTTTAAGCTAATATTTGTCACTCCTCATAGTGAAACTGAAATCTGAGTCTAATGACTAATGACCAAATTATGTCAGAGCCCCCAAATTGCACACCATTTCCATCTCCATGGCCTCCAATAGGCTTTAGCGCCAAACCTAGTCTAACCCTGGGGAATTATGTTTGTATTTTGTTGTAGGCCAAGTTATCCATTGGATTTGCCAAGATGGAAGAAGCCCTGGCAGCTCCATGTGCAATGATAAGTGATCACAGGATCGTTTCTGGGGGCTGAGAAGCTCTCCCCATAGCAGGGATATCAGCAGGTTAGGTCACCCCATGACAGGGAAGGCGGAGGAGTGTATTACCTGGGTTTCCAGAATTGGATAAACAAACCATCAGCGCTCAGACCCCACAGGTAACGCAGAGCAAAGAGGGTCTTCAGAAAGAAACCTCAGATGAACTAGGTTTATTTAAAAATTCCTCCCCAGGCCATCCTTATAATAATTATAATCTTTTTTATTGGTTGGTGGTTATATTATAACCACCAAGGGGTGGTTTCTGTAAAAGCCAGATTAGGTCATCCTGGTCTGCCTTTTAGAAGTTTCCACAACAGATGGAGAAACACAGCTTTAGAGGAAAGTATGGCTCACATCCGTCTGCATTCATTACAGGCCCAGTTCTCCAAAATGCTATATGTTATCTTGAGCCTGTTTGTTTTTATCTGTCAGAGTGGTTTATTGTTAGGGAAATAGGGTGTCAGCTGTCTCTTCCCCACCATCAAAGCCGCTTCATTAAAGTTAATAGTGTTTGACTTGCAGAGATCTCTTACCATGGTAACCCTAGAAAGCCCCTGCTGGCTGTTATTTTTCCGGCAGTAAAGGCACCAAATGGATGCAATAACTGCATTAATCTTTTAGGAAAAAGAGAAAAAAAAAAAACATTGTGTGACTCTACCTAGTAGGTGCTCAATAAATGCACCTTGAATTCATGAGGCTAACTCTACCCTCCTGTGTGGGACGGGATGCAGAACCAAATGACCTGGGTCCTGACCCTGCCACTCAAGGTTCTGTGGTCTGTGGCTTGTCACTTCCCCAGGCTAAACCTCAGTTTATTTATCTCAGAAATAAAGGGGATGGATTATGAGGAAGCCTTTTTTGTCCAAGAGTCATCTCACAAGGAAGCCTGATATATAAAAGCAGGTAAAAACAAATTTACTTCTGGATAAAGGGAGGGAGACCAGAAGTCCTATGTCCTCTGCATTCTACCTTCCTCCACAAGCCACCACCTAAACCTCATTCTTTTCCTTCCCCCAGGAAGTCCTGAGCAACCTCTGTGGGCTGCCTTGCCCACCCTAGACTTCCTGGAATAGCATCTGAAATCTACTAGTCTGAAGGAATTCTCACTAAGGTCTTTTCTGCTCAGACTATGGCTTCAGTGCTTAAGTAGGCTGGAGTCAAACCACATGAAGGCAGTTTCTAATCAGCATAATCACTTTATGGAAGAGTTTCTGCTTAGTGCCTTACAGGCATGAAACAGGGTTTTGCTTTGTTTTCTATGTTTTGATCTTCTCATCACTGCTTTTAGCTATGTGCTGTCAAATCTCCCTTCCCTCCTTGAGTAGGGGATCTCGGGCAAGTTCCATCACTTCTTGGTCACTGTCACTTACTGCTAGTTAGTTCAGTTTTTGTCAATCATGACTCAGTTTAAGTCTCATCCCCTCTCTCCCTGGCAGGGCACTGGAGCTGGAAGTGTGACTCTTTGGGGTACATCTTCACCGCATGGGTCACCCCCTTGAGTGGGAGAACCAGCAGGAGACTCAAACCTGAGAGCTCTGCACCAGCATGCTCCTGACCGTGACACACTCAGGCATCCTTACCACATCAACCAGTGCTGTGGAGGCTGCCCCAGGGCTGGCCCTCTCTGCACCTTGCCATCTGTCTCCAGTTCTCTTCTCTGCACCAGGAGGCCAAGGGACAGATCTACAAGCCCTCCGACCAAGCACATGTCCAACAGGGAAACCTAAAGCCAGTTTTCCTTTCTTGCAAGTAAGAAGAAATATCTTCCCTCATTTAATCTGTTGCAGGAATTCCCCTGCCCATTGTCATTCCCTCCCTTTGGAAAGAGAAGAAAACCATGAACACTATTCCCCTGAAAGGGTGCAACCAAGAGAACTCTCTCCCTCTTTGCCTCCCACCAGCACCTTTGCAAAAGGCCTTCAGGGTAAAAGGCGGCTGAGTCAACAGCTGGAGGTAGGAGGCCTGAGTGGGCTGCCCTATAGTAGACTGGCAGGTAGGGGAGTGAAGAAGGGAAGGGGAGGAGGCCACAACTGTCATTGACTTTCTTTAAAATGTTGCATTTGCAGCTGAGGCTCTAGTTGCCAAATCCAATACCATAGGAAAAATCCCACCAAACAGCCTGTACACATGTAATACTAGGATGTCTATCAGAATATGTTCATGTTTATGCATGTGGCTCAGACTTGGATGGGTACCAGTACAGGCACCTGTGTAAAACTCTGAAGAATCCCAAACCACATGTTTAGTTTTATTTTTTGGCCCAAGCCTCTGAGGGAGAAAATAAAACTAAAGCAAAGAGAACCAGTCACTCATTCATTCATGCACACTGTCCACGAGCCTTTCCTTATACAGGCAGGTGCTAAGCACTTGGGTGAGGCAATAGAGAATAAAGCATGGTCTCTGGCCATTATTATTCAGAACCACAGAAATAACTCCACTGGTATAACAAGAAACTTTCATATCCCATAGCTCATTAGGGTCCTAACAACAACCTCATAAGATGGCCAAGGTACATATAATCACCGTTTTAAATCTGAGAAACAGAAACACGTCAAGGGTAAGTGACTTGCGTAGTCCCACAGCTAGATAAGTGCAGGGCAATGATTAAAACTTAAATCATCTGTTGGTCCCAGACTGTTTCTGTTTGGCCAAACCATAACAAAATGAATCTGCGACTTCCTTGTATCTGCCATTACAATGGCTCTACATCCCACACTTTCAAGGATTCATTCAATTTCTAATATTGTGTTCCCTTGTCTTCCAGATTTTCCTTGTCAGATCACTTGTACTAATTTTGAAAATACAGTCACTCCGCCCAGTGCGGTGGCTAACATTTGTAATCCCAGCACTTTGGGAGGCCGAGGTGGGCAGATCACTTGAGGTCAGGAGTTTGAGACCAGCCTGGCTAACATGGTGAAACCCTATCTCTACTAAAAATACAAAAAGTAGCTGGGCATGGTGGCGGATGCCCGTAGTCCCAGCTACTCAGGAGGCTGAGGCAGTAGAATCGCTTGAACTTGGGAGGCGGAGGTTGCAGTGAGCCGAGATGGTGCCATTGCACTCCAGCCTGATGACCGAGTGAAACTCAATCTCAAAAAAAAAAGAAAAGAAAAGAAAAGAAAAGAAAAAGAAAATACGGTCACTCATATTAGTTTTGGGTTCAATAAATACAACTATCATAGATTATCTTTATTATTTCAAATGGACTGAAGTCCAATTTAGACTTTATAGCATCAAGACTAGGCAAGAGTCTCAATTTTTCAATCCATCCATCCTTTGGTATAGAAAATGATTTCACGACACACATTATTTAAGCTATTCTGAAAACCACACTAATGTTCTCTTTATTAATATTTTTCCAGTTTCAAAGCCTTCCATCAGGCATTTCTGTCAGGCTTCTGAAGGGTCCCATATGCACCCTTCCAGTTCAGAAATGTGTTCTTTTTTGGTTCATTGGAATTCTTCAGAATATCTGGCACTGAAACATATTGGCTTCAATTAAAAGGCTATGATTTCTGTGAATTCCCATTAAGCTAGTGAAAGAAATCTGTGTTAAAAAAAAAAGTTAACACATTAAGATACAGTTGTACTGAAAAATGGTTCATGTTTAAAAGGCTACTTAAGTAGATGAAAATAAGCTGCCTGTTATAAAAATCTGCTCATTTTTAGTAAAATCCTTCATTTCTAGAGGGGTTTTTAGTACATATGTGCCCAATTAGCCATAAAAACTCAACTAGACATGAACCATGCAATCCAACCATCCGCCTGTTGATGTTAAAACACAGATCCTATTAACACAAATGTAATTTAAACGGTTAAAAAGTGATAAAGTACATAATTCTAATCTAATAGTGTTTGAAATATGATACTGCTCTATACCAATGACAAATCAGTTTTGAATTATGATTCCAGTAAAGTTTGAAATAGCTCAAGCATGTTAATTAGTGATCCAAAACTCAGGAACAGCATTATATATTATATTCAGTCACACCTCTTTGCCCAGGAGCAAAAGCATATTCTCTAACATTCAGAGAAAGAGAAAGCCATGTAAATCCTCTTCAATTCTACGTCCTGGATGCCCTAGAAATGCCTCACTTAATTTTCCCCATTCAATTTACTTATGTTTAAAAGGTGTTAGAACTCAAGATAGTTTCTCAAGGAACAATATTTAAGAGGACCTTTAAAGTGCAAAGAAGTTCACTAGTTACTGGGGAAATGCACAAAAAGAGATCAATGTAACCACTTCTCTCCACATCTGTGCCCCTATGTGACATGGTCACATAGGCATGGAAGGTAACAAAGAACTGGGGTAACAAAGCTGGAGGTAACAACTGGAGTAACAAAGCTGGAGGTAACAAAGAACTGAGAGGAAGACAACTGAACCATTTCGTACTAGCTTTATCAGAGACAAATGCAAGCTTACACACCCAACTTTTATTATAAAAATAATACCCTATATATTTTAGGGATAGGCTCGAGCCCATCAAGAATATTCTGATGGCTCACCAGTGAACTGCAGATCTTGTTTTGATAATCACTGCTGTAGGTGCTTATAATATTAAAGGCAGGATTTCTTTTATAAGTATTCATAAATTAGATTAAATTTTGATTGTTTTGGAAGACAAACTAAATTCCAATCATGTCAATGAACTATCTCATCTTTTAAAATAGCCACAGGCTGGGCACAGTGGCTCATGCCTATACTCCCAGTACTTTGGGAGGTCAAGGTGGGAGGACTGCTTGAGAGTAGGAGTTCAAGACCAGCCTAGGCAAAATAGCAAGACCTCGTCTCTACAAAAAAGAAAAATAAATAAATAAATAAATAAATAAAATTAAAATTAAAAACTAGCTGGGTTGGCCGGGCACAGTGGCTCACACCTGTAATCCCAGCACTTCGGGAGGCCAAGGCAGGCAGATCACCTGAGGTCAGGAGTTTGAGACCAGCCTGGCTAACATGGTGAATACCTATCTCTACTAAAAATACAAAAAAAATTAGCCAGGCATGGTGGTGCATGTCTGTAGTCCCAACTACTCAGGAGGCTGAAGCAGGAGAATCACTTGAACCTGGGAGGCGGAGGTTGCAGTGAGCCACAATAGTGCCACTGCACTTCAGCCTGGGCACCAAAAAAGAAAAAAAAATTAGCTGGGCATGGTGGCAAAAGCCAGTAATCCCAGCTACTTGGGAAGCTGAGGCAGGAGGATCTCTTGAGCCCATAAGTTCAAGACTGCAGTGAGCCATGATCACACCATTGCACTCCAGCCTGGGCAAGGGAGGGAGACCCTGTCTCTAAATAAATAAATAAAATAAAATGGCCATAAAACAGCATGCTGAAGCCCCCTTGATCATACAGTGCCAGTGTCTCTCACCCTCGAAATCAGTTCTTCAGGTCTAATCCAAATCCTGTTTGCCCCAATTCAGTAAATTTCCTCTGGTTTTTTATCCAATGGTAAAAAAAAGAAACATATTGTAACGCCATTCTCCAAACACCATGCTACCATGGCAGATTTAGAGAATAGCTAGGAATAGTGTGCCCTAACACAGGACTTGGTCTCTGGCAAAATTACCAAAGCTGAGACCAAACAGTATGGTCTAGCTGGTGTCCTTAAACTATTTTCTTAGAGAAGAGCGGGGGAAAATCAGCATGTGAACACGAGTGAATCAATCTTAGTTCTTATAAAGCAAGTCCACTGAGTATGAACACTTCCATTCAAAGCTCACCAAATGTTACTGTGGCTTTACAAGAATAAAATGTGAAACTCAAGAAAGAGATTCTGTCATTGCTGGCGTCCTATTAAAGCCCAAGTTCATTCCCTCCTCTCCATTTTCTGTGGTACCTCTTCAGAGTGGCATTAGATCCTATTTGGACCATTGCAGTAGCCTCCTAACTGGTCCCTCTGCTCTGAGTCTCTCATCCTTCACATTGCTGAAAGGTTAATCTCTCCAGCTCTGATCAAATTACCTCCCCATCAAAAATGTGAATCACTGGTTCTCACGCCTGTCAACAGAATTACGGTCACATTCCTTAGCCTGGGATTCGTATCCATGTTTAAAGCCCTAGATCAGAAATATCCCATCTTTGAAAAAATGAAACATGAAAAACGCAAAAAAGTAGTTCCTGGGCCAGGCGCGGTGGCTCATGCCTGTAATCCCAGCACTTTGGAAGGCTGAGGCAGGCGGATCACAAGGTCAGGAATTCGAGATCAGCCTGACCAACATGGTGAAACCCCGTCTCTACTAAAAACATACAAAAATTAGCCAGGTATGGTGGCATGCACTTGTAATCTCAGCTACTCAGGAGGCTGAGGCAGGAGAAGTGCTTGAGCCCGAGAGGCAGAGGCTGCAGTGAGCCGAGACTACACCACTGCACTCCAGCCTGGGCGACAGAGCAAGACTCCGTCTCAAAAAAAAAAAAAAAAAAAAAAAAGTAGTTCCTGGATCATAAGCACTCAGTAAATGTTCTCTGTTATCGTTGTTGCTGCCTCTGTGGTGAATGTGTCATGAAGTCTTTAATCTTCACAGATGGATTATGGGATTTTAACAATAGCTTTCTTATGATACCTAATTACTTTTTCTTTTCTTTTCTTTTTTTTTTTTTTTTTTTTTTTGAGACAGACTCTTGCTTTGTCACCTGGACTGGAGTGCAGTGGCGCAATCTCGGCTCACTGCAACCTCCATCTCCCGGGCTCAAGCAATTCTGCTTCAGCCTCCCGAGTAGCTGGGATTACAGGCATGCGCCACCATGCCCGGCTAATTTTTTTTTTTTTTTTTTTTTTTTTTTTGTACTTTTAGTAGAGACAGGGTTTCACCATGTTGGCCAGGCTGGTCTAGAACTCCTGACCTCAGGTGATCCACCCGCCTCGGCCTCCCAAATACTTTTTATTTCCTGTCATAGTTATTTAATTATATGTCTAATCTCCCCTGGTAGACTATGAGCTCCTAGCGTAGATCTTATTTTCATTCATCTTTATATCCTTCATGTCATACATAATACAAGGCTTTTACACAAATACATTTGAAGAAAAATGTTAAATATTGCATCAAGCCACAAGGGGGCACAGTTGAGCTACTCTTAATAGTAGAATCCTCCTACAATTAGTAATAAAGGTTTTAGAATTGAGAGGTTTTTCTCCCTTGAAAGTGTAAGTCTGCTTAAAGTAAATGTATAAGCCTTATGTATGATTACAAATATATACACGTTAACACGAGAAAATGACTGTTATATAGTTAATTTTAAAAAAACAATAAATAGTAGAATATATATGATTCAATTTTTGTAAAATACCTGTCTTAAATACATACAGAAAAAAGCCTGGAAGAGGAGCCTGGAAGAGGAGCCTGGAAGTTGGCAGCTGTTATATCTCAGGGAGTTGGGAATATGGAGGTTTTAATTTCCGTTTTGCACCTTTCTGGATTTTTAAAAATAACCTATACATACTAATTTTATAATCAGAAAAATAAAGGTATTTACTTTAGAAATACCTTCACTTTATGGCAAAATATTTATTTTCTTTTTCTTGCCATCTCATCTCCAATTCCATGTTTAATGTATTTAAAAGCAAATATACAATTTAGGGTATTTTCTGACAGATTAAAGCAGAGATTCCCAAATTCTCTTGGTACACAGTGCCCTTAGTGTCTTGGTAATTTTTCATGGTACCCCAGGGAGGAAAGAAATACCTAACAGCTCCATTTGTTAAGTGGTGAAGTCCAAACGACTTAAAAAGCATTTATGTCCTAACAGTTGAGTAGCCATTTGAAAAGTTAATACACACACATTGAAAAAACATTTTTATTCCATTCTTAACTAAACACAATTACTTATTAATTGAATGTGTAAACCCATTGGTCATTTTGGAAATTTCTTAAACTCTGGAATAAGATTGAACACTGACTGCTACCCTGATTTTCTATTCCACCCTGATTTTCATGCAGTACTCAATTTTTATCACGGCAACTACCAAAATCCCAGCTTCGAAAAGAAATGTTATCATTGAAAGGAATGGAGCACGATCTAATTCTGAATCTATGAACACCTCAAGCTAGTAGTTCATGGGTATCCCCATGCAAATACTGAATATAATTGTGTTTTCCGGCCAGGCGCGGTGGCTCACTCCTGTAATTCCAGCACTTTGGGAGGCCGAGGTGGGCGGATCACGCGGTCAGGAGATCGAGACCATCCTGGCTAATACGGTGAAAACCCGTCTCTACTAAAAATACAAAAAAATTAGCCGGGCGTGGTGGCATGCGCCTGTAATCCCAGCTACTCGGGAGGCTGGGGCAGGGGAATCGCTTGAACCCAGGAGGCGGAAGTTGCAGTGAGCTGAGATCACACCACTGCGCCACTGCACTCCAGCCTGGGAGACAGAGCGAGACTCCGTCTCAAAAAAAAAAAAAAAAAAAAAAAATCTGGTTCCCTGTGAGGCTGGCAAGACGGAAAAAAGAAAAAAACAAAACAAAACAAAACAAAACAAACCTCATCAAGTGGCTACTTCCCAACTAGCCTTGAAAATATGCCACACCTAATAGCTCAAATTTGTTTTGTTTTCTCTGAGCCAGATTCCGCTGGGAAAGAGGAAAGAAGGTTGGTGTGGGAAGGTGGGCTGAGGAAAGGACTCTGGTTTCCATCTCCCTCCAGTCCACCAATCTGCTCTTCGCTTCTAATCTGTTCTTCTCTCCCACTCAAAACTAAACCAGGAAGCAGCTCCCAAAGTAGCATGTTCCTGGGAAACACCCACGTTCCTGCATGAGTCTGAGACTGGATTTCCAACCAACCTACTGACTTTTCCACCTCTCTCTCCAAATGCCCAAGGCCTTGCCAGGACCTGGGAAGCACAAAGGGCCCCAATGTTGAACTGCTTCCTGGTAAGACAACCCTTTTCCCTTCCTGAACTAAAAGGCATTTACTTCTCCTGCCAGGAATCACTGGTTAGCTTCTGGGACCACGACTTCCAGTCAAGTACACAACTGCTTCTATTCAAATCCACTTCAAATGGAGATTAAAAAGTGGTTTTTTCTCTAAAGTTTGATGGATCCAATTTCACATCTTGAGTTAGTAAGATGGTTTCCAATTTTCTATTAATAACTTAAACATAATTAAAACACATCCAAAAGGCATCTCCAACTTGTGTGGCAGGAAGTACTTAAAGAACTTAAGGTTACAGGGAGATAGAAGCAAGCCAAATGTCTATGGACAGGTGGGTGAATAAATAAAATGTGGTATATCTCTACAATGGAATATTATTCAGCCTTAAAAAAGGAAGGAAATTCTGACACATGCTACAGCATAGATAAGCCTTGAAGACAATATGCTAAGTGAAATAAGGCAGACACAAAAGAACAAATATTGTGTGGCTCCACTTATATGAGATACCTAGGGTGATCAGATTCATAGACAATAGAATCGTAGGCTGGGCACAGCGGCTCACACCTGTAATCCCAGCACTTTGGGAGTCTGAGGCAGACAAATCATGAGGTCAGGAGTTCAAGACCAGCCTGGCCAACATGGTGAAACCCCATCTCTACTAAAAGTACAAAAATTAGCCGGGTGTAGTGGCGGGCGCCTGTAATCCCAGCTACTCGGGAGGCTGAGGCAAGAGAATCGCTTGAACCCAGGAGGCGGAGGTTGCAGTGAGCCGAAATCGTGCCACTGCACTCCAGCCTGGGTGACAGAGTGAGACTCCATCTCAAAAAAAAAAAAAAAAAAAATAGAATGGTAGTTGCCAGGGCTGGGAGGAGTAGGAAATGGGGAATTATTGTTAATTAGTATAGAGTTCCAATTTTGCAAGATGAAAAGAGTCCTAGAGATGGATGGTGTTGATGGCTGCACAACATTGTGAATGTACTTAATGCCACGAAATGTACACCTAAACATGGTTTACATGGTACATTTGATGTTGTATATATTTTATTTTACCACATTTTTTTTAAATCACAGGGATGACTTTCTGGTAAAGGGAGGCTTCGATTTAACTGGAATCACATCCTTAAATCACTTGGACAGCTTGCAGCCGACCTAGAGATGAGTCAGTTTAGATGATCTGGTGTTAAATAACATACATGATGTTTCAAAACCCAAAACCCAAGGGCCCTGTTCTAAAGGGAACAATGCCTAAACAAGAGCAGTAGCCAAGCCTCCACCTCTTTCAGGCCTTCAGTGTGCTTAAGAAAATTCAAATTTTCTCAGTAAATTCCCAGCCCTTCAGGCACGAGTGTGAAATTCTCACTCACTTCCTTTCAAAGAGGATACTGTACTCCTCAGATGCTATAGATCCAAGGCATGATGAAATAAGGCCTAGAATAGCAGCTAGAAGACATGGACAAATGCAGGCTGATCTGGGTTCCAGAACTCAGCGTCCTGGGCGTGAGGCTTACAGTGAGGTGTTTTCTTGATCTAATGTAGGCCTGACGCTGTTAAAGAGGACAGCCTGAAAATCCAAAGCACCTGGCTTTCTCCTTACTTGTAGGCCTGGCCTGTAAACACATTTCCAAACTCTCCTGAGAAATGTTTGGGAAGGAGGAAAGAGAATTTTCTAAGGTCAGCCTGGAAAATGCCAGATGATGCATTCTATGTCAAAAATCGGAGAAGTCCTACAGTGTAGAAATTTGACGTCCAATTTTCTCACTTCTCAGCTTCACACCCATTGATCTCCCTTTTTTTTTTTTTTATGTGCTTAGCTCTTCCTTTCTTGACATCTCCATTTTGTCAGTGGCACCCAATCTCAAAACCATAGAGTCTTTTCTGATTTCCTCTTCTGTCAACACATTCCATCACTGATCTAACTATAAATTCGGCTCCAGCCATACCTTTTCCATCAACCCCCTTTCTTCCTACCTTCTCTGCTGCCATGTTAGTTGAAGTCTTCATGACTCTCCCCACTAGACTATCCCAATAGCCTCCTCATTGGTCTCCATATCCCTCAGCTCTCTTCCCTCTAATAATATCTTAACCACCAACAGAGGAATGCTTCCAAAGTACAATGCTAAGCATGCCACAACTATACTTGGACACTCTGAGTGGCTCCCCATGGCCCACGAAATAAGGAAGGACAGACCCTTCAGCTAGCATGTGAGTTTTTTTTGTACTTGTCGCTCCAACCCCCTCAACCAGCCTCATTTCCCATCCCAGGGAACCTCATGGTCTAGTCAACTCAGCTGTTTTCCATTTCCTAAATAGATTTCAAGGTTTCCTGCCACTGCGCATCTACTCATCCTCAGTCAGATTTGAGCTCTCTCCCTCCTCTTCTCTACTCAACTTCCAAGTCCAGCTCAAATGCTGAGTCTTTGTGAAGTCATAAGTCTTTTCTTTGAATTCCTCAAAATTCTTCAACTGTTGAAATCTCATAGTTCTTAATACAATCAGCTTTTATTAGTGTCATGTTTCAATACAGTCAGTTGTACCTTAATGTGTTACTTTATTAAAGGACTGCAGACAGCCTTAAATATTAAAGTCTTATTCATCTCTGTATTTTACTTGAGTGCTAACACAATGCTTTAGATATAAGAAGCATTTAATGCAAGTCTGTTGAATTAAGGAATAACTACTTTAGTAGTTATTCCTTAATTTAGTCCTACTTCACACACCATCAAATTCCCAAACTTCAATATATTCTTAAGCCAGTGATAGCAAATTTTCATTTATTCTCTTTCCTGAACCCTAGACCCTTTTTTAAAAGACTTTATATGTTTTATTTACAGATTAAAACAAATATAAGTGGCATCTCATTTTATATACAGATGTTCCCTGATTTATGATTGGGTTATGACCCAATAAATCCATTGTACATTGAAAATATTAAGTCAAAAATACATTAAATACGCTTGTGAACCCTGAAAAAGCCTAAAGATGAATCATCCCTGAAGATGAATCCAGAGTGGCTAAATGGGCCTAAATTCAGATTAGAGCCAAGTGGCCATTTGCTGACTAGACATTACACACCTACTCTGAGTTTCCAGAAAACCTGCACTTCTGCTTAACTTTGGTACTTTCATAGCCACATGTTGATATATATGCCATCTGAACCAACCAATAAACTGTGATGTCCATTGACCAATCAGAGCCCAACAAACACCAACCAATCAGAACTAAGCAAGCTTGAATCCTTCATTTGCATAAGCAGATCTGAATGGGAACCTGGGCTGAAATATTCTCTATAAGAGATCGAGACCATCTTGGCTAACACGGTGAAGCCCTGCCTCTACTAAAAATACAAAAAGTTAGCCGGGCATGGTGGCTCGTGCCTGTAGTCCCAGCTACTTGGAGGAGAATCGCTTGAACCCGGGAGGCAGAGGTTGCAGTGAGCCAAGACTGCGCCACTGCACTCCAGCCTGGGTGACAGAGCGAGACTCTATCTCAAAAAAAAAAAAGATAAACCGGCCAGGCACGGTGGCTCACGCCTGTAATCCCAGCACTTTGTGCAGCTGAGGTGGGCGGATCACCTAAGGTCAGGAGTTCGAGACCAGCCTGACCAACATGGTGAAACCCTGTCTCTACTAAAAATACAAAATTAGCCAGGTGTGGTGGCACATGCCTGTAATCCCAGCTACTTGGGAGGCTGAGGCAGGAGAATGGGGGGCAGAGGTTGCAGTGAGCAGAAATGGCGCCATTGCACGCTAGCCTGGGCAACAAGAGCAAAACTACGTCGCAAAAAAAATTATAATAATAAATATAAATAAATTAAAAATAAATAAAACCACCTCCATCCTGGCCGACATGGTGCAACCCCGTCTCTACTAAAAATACAAAAAATTAGCTGGGCGTGGTGGCGCATGCCTGTAATCCCAGCTACCTGTGAGGCTGAAGCAGGAGAATCACTTGAACCAGGGAGTCAGAGGTTGCAGTGAGCCGAGATCACACCATTGCACTCCAGCCAAGTGACAGAGTGAGACTCCGTCAAAAAACAAACAAACAAGACACCCTGCGTTCTCTAGAATGTACTTTTATTTTATATCAAAGGCTGCCTCTCCCCAGTTTGCAAATAGTTTACTGGAATAAAGTCTCTTTCCTCTAAAGTCTTTTTCAAAGAACTTTTGTTCACACACCTGACCTACTAAACATCATGGCTTAGCCTACCCTAGCCTACCTTATTAAACACGTCATAGCTCCCTGTAGCTACAACAGCATGGCAAGAGAGTATCCTACCACACATCACTAACTCCAGAAAAGATCAAAATTCAAAGCATGACATATTGCTTTCACATCATTGTGAAGTTGAATAATCATAATTTTAGGGAGGCTGTCTGTATATTTACTTTAAATTAAAATGTATAGCATTTCTTATTATCATCAAGTGAACTACTGAGAATAGTAGGCTGTTTTGCTAAATAGAAGTAGAAGATTAGGGGTGTCCATTCACAGTCAGTCATTCCTGTATCCAGTTTATTTCTGCTTTTTGACTTGGTTTCATGCATTGAGAAAAATCCAAATTCACACAGATGTGTCATAATGTGCAATTTCATGTCAGTGGACACTGGCAGGTAATGGATTTCATTTTGTTAAAGCTCAGATACAAAGCTTTTGTTAAAGCTCAGTGACACATAAGAAATGCCATACATAGCAATTAAGAACACAGACTCTGATTTAAATCCTGGCTCCAGTATTTAATAGTCCAGACCTTAAGCATTAGAAATCTTAATATTAATAATAGCATTTCCCTCAAAATGTTGTGAAAGAACAAGACAAGTCACACAAGTTAATGCCTCAAGGTCTTCAGTGCATTAAAATGAACAATATGACACATCAGAGTCTGCTGTTTTAAATTTTGTATCATATCTTGAGCAGATACCAAAACATTTACAAAATATGTGTGAAGGATAAAGAATCACAATATAACAAGATCAATATATTCACCCAGTTCAAAAAAAAAGAAAATGACCTATTTTTGAAATATCCAGTGTGCCCCTCCCTGACTCCATCACCTTTCCTTCCCCATGAGGTAATTCTTACCTTCTCCATATTCTATTCTAAATTTGTTTTAGCACGTACCCTATTACTTACTATGTGCCAGCCTCTGTTCTCAGTGCTTTACAAAATTTCTCATTTCTAGTCCTCATAACAATCCCTTGAAGTGGATAACATTATTATCTCCTGCTTGTAAGTGGAGTGGTCAGAATTTGAAAACAGGCAGTCGGCCTCCTGGGTTTACATTCACGGAATCTCTTATGTTTGCAAAAAATCTGACACAGCTGAACTTCAAACCCAGTTTGAAGGGCACTCCCATGCTTCATGCTTGAATGAACATTTATTATTAAACACCCACTGTGTGCCAGGCATTGTGCCGGGCACTGTGAAGCTTAAGGAAAAGCTTCTCCCTACCTGGCAACTGGCAGTTCCCAGAACATCCAGTTCCTTCTACAGCTGTGGTCTTTGAACTCCACCCACTGGACATGCAGGCCCCAGCCAGGGGGGCCTGTAAGACCCTGTGATCTCCGTACAGCCTTGAGAAAGGACAAGCAGGCCCAGACACTCTACTTTAGTATTGCCCAGGGGGTGCTCAACAATCACCAATCCCCAAGGAATCACGAGAAAGCCCAAACTTTTTTGACGCCACTCCCAGCCTCTTCCTTGTGAAGGCTTTCTCAGAGACGTGGTTCTTGAGAACCACGCAGGAATCCACAGGAATCCATGGCCTTTGCCAGCAAGCAGGCCAGACGGCAGCCTCGTGGCCCAGCCCACAAGGAAAGACCTCAACTTTAGCAGCAGGTCACTCCCCTAATTATTCCCTGTGCCTGGAGTCCAAAATAAACACAGCATCTTTCACGAGCAGCTCCCACCATGCACGAACCTCGGAACCTCACACATGCAGCCAAGCGCTGGGAAGTGCTAAAGGGTCAGAGGGTTCGTGGGGCCAGCGGTCCCCAGGCCTCTGGGGGAAAGTCCCAGTTGCTCTCTAGTCCAAAATCCAGACCCAAAAGAAACTGCCTGAGGCCCCATCTGCCTCCAGGTCTTATTTCCTGGGACTGGCCTGGGATCCTGCAGGTTGGACCCTAAGAAGGGCCAGCGAGTCAGACAGCAACTGCGAACAACTACACCTAAGCCACCCAGGAGAAAAGGCAGGGGTGGGACACAGGGGACCAAAGATGCTTCCTCAAGGGGCACAGTCTCTTAGTAAGTGCTCTCCTGGCTTCACTCTATACTGCAAACTTTTTATTTATTTATTTTTTAGTATTTACTAGATACCAGTCCTGGTAGATGCTGGGGGTGTGGGGGGAATATGGTTCTAGAATACAACAGCAAACAAAACATCAAGGTGTCTACTTTTGTGTAGCTTATATCATTGAGGGAATGGGTGACAGGCAATAATGAAACTAGTGAAACCATTTCAGATTGTGGTTAGTGCTCTGAAGTACATAAAATCTCGATGTTGCATGGGGTATGCAGCTATGTGAGCTGGGATCTGAATAAGGAGGAGCTAGCAACACAAAGGAAGGGGAAAAGCATTCTAGATAGAGGGAACAGAAGTGCAAGACCCTGAGGGCTCTGATTAAATGCTGATTAAGAGTTTAAGAAATGTTTCATGGAGACCAGGCACAGTGGCTCACGCCTGTAATCCCAGCATTTTCGGAGGCTGAGGTGGGTAGATCACCTGAGGTCAGGAGTTCAAGACCAGCCTGGCCAACATGATGAAACTTCCCTCTCTACAAAAATACAAAAATTAGCCAGGGAAGATGGCAGGTGCCTGTAATCCCAGCTACTCAGGAGGCTGAGACAGGAGAGTCACTTGAACCTGGGAGGTGGAGGTTGCAGTGAGATGAGATCGAGCCATTGCTGAGGCAGGAGAATCGCTTGAACCCGGGAGGCAGAGGTTGCAGTGAGCTGAGATCGCGCCATTGCACTCCAGCCTGGGCGACAGAGTGAAACTTCATCAAGAAAGGAAGGAAAGAAGGAAAGAAGGAAGGAAGGAAGGAAGAAAAGTTTTCATGGAAATTTAGTATTCTCAAAACCTAGTACAAGGCGGGATAAGAGATATTTTGTTAAGAGTGTAAAGATCAAAGTCCTTTGTTCTTTGTTGGAAAGAACTTTCCCCTGGATTTAAAAGAACACGCAGTAATAATCTGGGCAGACATA